>NC_000017.11:7309292-7460807 GCF_000001405.40 Homo sapiens
CTGAGTCCTCCCCACTCCCAGGAAGTAGGCCTTTTCTCATCTCTGAGATTTGACATTCCAGCTCCCTAGAGCCTTCCTTTCCCAAGCCACCACTTTAGCTTTGATTTATGGGGGAGAAACCAGCTATTCCACCCTCCCATACACACACCAGTTCTTGAGTATATTTGAGCCCAGTCAGTATTTTAAGTTCAGGAACTTTGACTTTATTTTAGGTGGGTAATGGAATAAAGAGTTGGGAAAATGTTTCTGGAGAGAAATGGGATAGATTGGAGGTCCTGTTGACCTCCATGCTTATTCACTTCAGTTCTCTTCTTGGCTCTAGTTGGAATCGAAGCCTCTTAAAATGGCAGATGACTTGGACTTCGAGACAGGAGATGCAGGGGCCTCAGCCACCTTCCCAATGCAGTGCTCAGCATTACGTAAGAATGGCTTTGTGGTGCTCAAAGGCCGGCCATGTAAGATCGTCGAGATGTCTACTTCGAAGACTGGCAAGCACGGCCACGCCAAGGTTAGAATTTCACCTCCGCATCTTGCCTTCCCCATGCCTCCAGTATCTTTGGCGCTCCCAGCAGCAAGCTGCCAACAGTGCTGACTTTCCTTTAACTCTGCTTTTACTGTCTGATTGTTTTTGTTTAGCGCTCAGCCTTCATACCCATTCAGACAACTACACCTGCTCCCCAGTCTTCAGCCTCTTCTGTGGTTACCCTTCTGTCCCCGCATCATTCTCTGGCAGTCCCTCCGTTTCTCCAGCTTTGTGCCAATCTCTTCAATTCATAGGCCTTTATGCTCTAGCTATTCAGTTGCTCCTTCCTTATTCTTGGTTTTCACTTTTTCTTTCTTCCCTTGAGCCGTTGTTAAGTGGTTGCTTCCATCACGTTGCCCAGGGTTTCTCCAATTCTACGCCTTCCCCTGGAGGGACTCCTGCGTCAATTCTGAGCTTTCAGGTCACCTTGCTGCTTCGTTCCCCAGTTCTAGCTTTCCCTTTGGAACTCTGACGCAGGATCAAACTGCCCCTACCTGCCCCATCCCACTCTCCTTGGGTTCCTTGAGCCTCCATGCTTTCATGGGTTTTAACATTCTTGCTAGCACTTCCCTCATCACCTCAGACTTTTCCTGTCTCTTTAGAATTTCAACCTGATTCGTTCTTGTTGAATTTCTTGTGGTGTTTTTCCTTAATCAGTTTTTCCATCTTTTGACTTGACATTGATCTTGGATTATTCTCTAGTGTCTGGATCCCTCTCTGTGCTCTTCTGGCTTCCTTATTTTCTAGCTACATAGTTATTTCTGATCTCCCTGCAAGTCCTTTTCTTCAGCTCTTTCACATTTCTTAGTTTCTTATCCTTTCCCTTCTACCTTCCTTATTCCCCAGTTTCTCAGCTCCTTCTCCTGGTGTCCGGAAAACTCTTCGAAACTTTTACTCAGACTCCTCCCACTCCCCTAGACTCTTAGCATCTTATCTTTTATCAAGGTAACTGTCTTCTCCAAGCCTGCCATGCAGTTTTCTATTGTGCTGTCAACCCCAATCTCAACGGTGGTTTTTTAGCCTCTGTTTTTTTTCTTTAAGAGGCTTTACTGTTTCTTGAGTTGACTGGTTCAATTCCAACACTCCAGTCTTTGCCCCAACAATGTAATTCTGACTTCCCTCATCAGGCAAGGTCAATTTGAGCCTTTATTTCCTCCGTTTTAGAGTTTGGTTGGGTTTCTCTTTGTGATGCATACATACAGGTCCATCTGGTTGGTATTGACATCTTTACTGGGAAGAAATATGAAGATATCTGCCCGTCAACTCATAATATGGATGTCCCCAACATCAAAAGGAATGACTTCCAGGTATGTAGATGGTCTGGATGAGGATGGGTTAGCGGTTTATGGTGGAGGGAGGGGTTGGGGGATAGGGACTGACCAGGAGAGCTTGTGCTGGGAGAGAGGAGGGAAATGGCAGGAGAGGGTGTTTGGTATTAGTTTGCTATCAGTCCAGTTTGTCTATCAGAGCCTTTACTGTCATGTCAGCCTCCCTGGGCCTACTACCTTCAGCCTCCTTCCCTATCTGCCCCCAGCTGATTGGCATCCAGGATGGGTACCTATCACTGCTCCAGGACAGCGGGGAGGTACGAGAGGACCTTCGTCTCCCTGAGGGAGACCTTGGCAAGGAGATTGAGCAGAAGTACGACTGTGGAGAAGAGATCCTGGTATGGTGCCTCCCTCCCTGCTTCTGTGCTCAGCTTTGTTCTGTACGTTTCTTCCTGAGCTCAGACATCTCTTGGCTATCCCTCTTGCTTCTCCAGATCACGGTGCTGTCTGCCATGACAGAGGAGGCAGCTGTTGCAATCAAGGCCATGGCAAAATAACTGGCTCCCAGGTGAGTGTGACAAATCCCTCACTGTCCCCTTCACATTTTGTTGTCCTCAGCAGAGCTGCTGTAGTCTTAATTGTTTCAGGCTTACTTTCTGCCCCTAGCCTGGCTCTGTCCTCCCTATCCTTCCTGTTGAAGGTATTATCCTGTCTTACTAATTTCTCTCTCCTACCTAGGGTGGCGGTGGTGGCAGCAGTGATCCTCTGAACCTGCAGAGGCCCCCTCCCCGAGCCTGGCCTGGCTCTGGCCCGGTCCTAAGCTGGACTCCTCCTACACAATTTATTTGACGTTTTATTTTGGTTTTCCCCACCCCCTCAATCTGTCGGGGAGCCCCTGCCCTTCACCTAGCTCCCTTGGCCAGGAGCGAGCGAAGCTGTGGCCTTGGTGAAGCTGCCCTCCTCTTCTCCCCTCACACTACAGCCCTGGTGGGGGAGAAGGGGGTGGGTGCTGCTTGTGGTTTAGTCTTTTTTTTTTTTTTTTTTTTAATTCAATCTGGAATCAGAAAGCGGTGGATTCTGGCAAATGGTCCTTGTGCCCTCCCCACTCATCCCTGGTCTGGTCCCCTGTTGCCTATAGCCCTTTACCCTGAGCACCACCCCAACAGACTGGGGACCAGCCCCCTCGCCTGCCTGTGTCTCTCCCCAAACCCCTTTAGATGGGGAGGGAAGAGGAGGAGAGGGGAGGGGACCTGCCCCCTCCTCAGGCATCTGGGAGGGCCCTGCCCCCATGGGCTTTACCCTTCCCTGCGGGCTCTCTCCCCGACACATTTGTTAAAATCAAACCTGAATAAAACTACAAGTTTAATATGAAGCCCCCAACTCAGCTGCTTATTTGAATTAAATGGGTGTATTTGGAAGCCACAAAAAGACTGAACTCTGCCACTGAGTTCACTGGAACCCGCTGTCTATCACTTTGACTTGCTGTGGACCTGCCAGCCATCCCCCCACCCTCCAAGCAACCTTGACCTATTCCAGACAGTTGGGTGGGAGGCAACACAAACAGCAGCAGCCAGGGGCAGTGGCAGGTAGATTTTATTGGCCTGGGACACACAGGGGATACCCTCACCCACGATGGGGTGGGGGGTGTGGTGTTGAAGATATAATCTGATGGTCACTTGTGGTAGAATCGCGGGTTCTGGCTGTGTTGGATGAAGGGGAGCCGAGGGCCAGGTTGGCTGGTAGCTGCAAAGCCCGACTGGTGGTGGTGATGAAAAGAGGGCTTTGTCACTGGGCATACTCTCCCTTCCACTTAATACCCTACTGATAACCACCCCCAAAGAGGAAGGAAAAACCAGATGATGTGGGCCACCTGTCCTACCTAATCCTGCTTTTCCGGATCCCTAGTGTAGGGATTCTGACAGGTAAATTCTATTACCATTCTTACCTTTCCTGCTGGCTGCATCTGCACAGGGAGCTGGGGGGAAGCAAGGAGTCCAGGGGCTGGATGCAGAGCCTGGGGGTGCATGGGGCGCAGAGAGGACTGCAGAGAACAGAGTCAGGGCCTGAGGCATACTGAAGCTCCCCTTAACATATCCCTAACCCTGACCTCCCAAGGTGCCATACTCACTGAGTCGGAGAAGCCAGTCTGCTGGTTAGCATGTTCCATCTGCTTTTGCAAGGACAGGGCACCACCAGGCTGGAGGAAACCTAGGTGGGGAAGAGGGGCATGTGAGATGAGAATGAAACAGGGAGGGGAGGACCTGAGAGCTAGAGCTCCTGCATGGGATGTTATCACCTGTCTGAGTGGGCTGAAAGTGGCCATGCACAGCATAGGGCTGTGGCTGTGGCTGAGATAGGTACTGCACTGCAGGGAATGCCGAAGGAGCTGAGAAAGGAAAAGACAGAGCCATTAAAATCTTTTACTGAATGGCATTCCTCCTTTGACCTTGAGGAAGGCCAAGCCCCATCCCTCCTATTACTCACCTCTGAGCTGCTGACTAGGACTATAAGCTGGCTGTGTGGGCCCATAGTGAGGTGGGGGCTGAGCAGTCCCATAGGCACCACCAGGACTGCCTTGGAATTGTCCATGCTCTGGTGTCCCTGCAAAAGCAGCTGCTGAGCCCACGTAGTGCCGGGTCTAAGGAAGGAGAATGAGAACTCGCCTACAAACTCCTTGAAAGCTGAAACCCAGTGACTTGTGTGTATCTGTATGCCCCGTTTCCCCCTAAACTTAAGTGCTTGATATGTTTGTGACTTGAATACTGGTGGCAAGGATGCATGGATGGAAGTACTAGGGGCTAGGCATCCAATCCTACTCTCACCGTAAGCACTTGGGGTCCAAACATTTGTTTGGCTCTGTCAGCTGCCATGAGGGTGCCTGGGCGATTGTGTCCTCCAGGGCTCCCTAGAAAGGGAGAAGGGCTTCATGATGCTGAAATGGGAGGCTGTGACCTCCAAGAAGGCCGGTTCCATCTGGTGGTTTCTTTAGTCCTCACCCTGCATGCTGAGGAGATGAGTTCCTGTGTGAACAGTCAGGCTCTGCTGGTATGCAGCTGATGTTAGGGTGGTCAGGTCACTGGAGTGAAAGGAAGACAGGTCAAAGTCAAGGACAGATGCCTTCTCTTTTGCCATTAAACACTGGTTCTTTTACTACCTGATCCCAGTTCCACTTGGCCCCCATTTCAGTTTTTAGCACTCTGATCCCACCTCTGTTCCTTTCGCCTCCGTTTTTCTTCCTCATGTAAAACTTTCTTGAGCTGCAGGAAAAGCTGGTGCTTCTCTTCCTGTAGAGCCAAAAGCTTCTCCTCCAACTTCAGAATCTGGGATGGGGTGGGAAAAGAAGATGAAGGCAGGGAGAGTCAAACGAAGAAATCAAAGCTGGGAAAGTTCAAGGGACTGCTTACTTGTTCCTTGGTCTCCTCTAATGACATTCTCTCTTCCATCTCCTTTTTCTTCCTTCTCTCCTGTTCTTCCTTCATCTTCTGTTCCATCATCTTATCCACCTCTTCTTCCTCTGGAGAATCAGGCAGAATGAAGAAGAGGCAGGGTAGTGAAAACAATTCCAACGTTACAGATTGAAGACCAGCAAAACCCAGTCATCCCAACACGCCTGTATGCTCTTTGCCTCGAGGGGACAAGCTCCCCATCGCGGCAATAGGGAACGGAAAGGCTTTATCAGGTGCTCTCCAAGGTCCTTCCCATCTCAAGGGTTCTGGAGCGTGGAACAGGACGCTTAAATCCCACCACAACGGGGCTATTCCTTCCCTCCTCTGCGCTCGGCAGCGGGCGCGCTGGTTGGCCGGTGGGTTGAGGCCAGCCTTGAGGTACAGGAGCCATTCTGGGCCGTGCGTCCCCCTGCTATGGCCCCGGCTCACCCTGCCGCTTGCGCTCCCGCTCCATCATAATGTGCCGGTGCAGCGCCCTGGCCATGGCGTTGGAAAGCTTGGGGCGCTCCAGGAGTGCGGGCATGGTGCTGCCGTGGGCGCTCGGGCCGTGGGCGCCCGGCTGTCTCTGACTGCCAGACCTCAGACGGGGCCTGCGGGGAGGCGGGCGCTCAGAGGGGGCCGCGCCCGGCCCAGGCGGAAGCCCGTCCGCCCGGCCCGCTCGCCGCCCCGGTCACGTGTCCCAGGAGCCCGCCACCCGGCCGGGACCGCAGCCCCAGTCCCACCGCGCGCGGGCGGCGCCGGGGTCCCCGGCTCGCTGCTGCCGCTCCCTGCCCAGCCAGCGCGGACGACTGCCCTTCCTACCCGCCTTCTCTGCGCTTTCTCAGCGGCTCCGACGCGCCCTGGCCCCTGCGTCACATCCGGCGGCCCGGCCGAGTCCTTCCGGAGTCACGGCGGCGGCCGACCTCACAGGTGAAAGAAGGCGGAAGCGCGCTGCGACGGGTGCCCGCGGCGTACAAACCCCGTCGCCGGGAACGTGAGCGACGACGGCTGCAGACTGGCCTTGGCATCCTCAGCTCTCTTTAATTTCGCGGGCCCACCTGGTGGCACCCCAGGGGACGCGGGCTCCGGAGAGGGGCGCGCGAGAGAGAGGCCGAGGCGGAGGCTCTGAGACGGTGTTTATTGGCTCCTTAGAAATCAGAGTCAGTAACAACTGTACAGAGGCCCCCATCTTCCGTGCGCCCACCCTTCCCCACTCCCGCCCGGTGGCCCCGGAAAAAGCAGCTTCATGTGGGCACAGGGAGAGACTCCTCTGGGATTCACAGTAACCAGAAACAAAAACGGAAATAAATTAAGTGATGTGGGGTAGGGGAGTAAAAGGGAGTCATGTTCCCCAAATCAGTGCATGAAGAGGGGTACCAGGGCCTGGAGCTGGGCTCCCACGACTCCTCCCATCAGACGGAGTGCTGGGCCTCCGGACATGGAGCTGTGCCACTTGCCACCTACATCTGAGAGCCTGCCTACATGCTCCTGCGCGGCTGCCAAGCTCCAGCACCTGCGCATGCCACGAGTCACGGGAATGAGGTGGAGGCAGTCGCCACTCAGAGTCCATGGGCCCGCGGCCCGACTGTGCTTGTAGTAGTGGTGTCTCACCCCTCATTCCACCCGTACCAGCAGGGCACAGAGGAGTGTGGCCCCCTTCTCCTTAGTGACCCACTCAAGTTCGGCTGGACTGAAGTGAGGGTCAGGAGGTTCTCCAAGGGCAGCGGAAGGGGGTCCCGGGGTGTAGGAGCCAGGGCGCACACACACCTGGAACGCCACCTGAGCCTGGTGCGTCCGCTGGGATTTGGGGTCCCGGAATCTGTCAGACAAGAAAAAATAAGGGAGTGAAGCCTCTCGCCCCATCACCTCCCCCTTGCAAAGTCTGTTCCAACCACACAAGCCTTGCTGTACCTAGGAAATACTCCCACCTTATGGGAACTTCGCTCTAGCTGTTCTACCTGAAATGCTCTTCCTCCCAAAGCCTGCTCAGCTACACCCTTCACTTCCTTCTTCAAGCCTTTGCTCGAATCTCTCCCACCTTCTTAGGATGTCCACACCAACCGCACTGCTGTCTCCGCCCCATTCTTTCTCTGTTTCCATAGTCCTTACTTATTACCTTTAAAAATACTAAATACTGGCGGGGCGCGGTGGCTCACGCCTGTCCCAGCCCTTTGGGAGGCCGAGGTGGGCGGATCACGAGGTCAGGAGATCGAGACCATCCTGGCCAACATGGCGAAACCCCGTCTCTACTAAAAATACAAAAATTATCCGGGCTTGGTGGTGCGTGCCTGTAGTCCCAGCTACTCAGGAGGCTGAGGCAGGAGAATCGCTTGAACCCAGGAGGTGGAGGTTGCAGTGAGATCACGCCACTGCACTCCAGCCTGGGTGACAGAGCAGGACTCCGTCTCAAAAAAAATAAAAATAAAAATAAATAAATAAATAATACTTATTACGTATGAACATTGTAGAGAGAAAAGGCAGAAGTTCCACAAGAGCAAGGTTCCTTTTTTTGCCCACTAGAAGAGTATATAAGTAGTATTTGTTCAATGAATGAAGAAAGGGCTGAGTTGGAGACTGGCAGCTAGCAAGACGAGATGAGAAAAGGGGAGGGCGAATCATGAAGACCCCAGTGGCTGCGCTTGGGCCCTCTCCATCCGAGCCCCTGGAAATCTCTCCCCACCCCTCCCAGTACTCACTGCACTTTGGAGGCCAGGGTCTCCGCCCCAGCATATTGAAGGGAGGGGGAAAGCAGCACAGGAGGGGGCTGCTCCTCCCGAGGAGGTGCACAGTTCTCGCCAGGCTCCTCGAACCCTACCCCAGGTTCTCCCTTCAAAGGACGGCAGCTCAGGATGGAGGCAGTACCTGGGAGGAGAACTGGGTCAGGATAGCCCTTTTTATTCCTCCACAGCCCCCCAGGCTCAGCCCACCTTGCATGGGCCTACTCGCCAGTACCTGCTCCCAGCTCCCCTCGGTCCAGCACTCTCCGTACAGCGGCAACATTGCTCCCGTGATATGCCATGTGCCACTTCTTGGTTAGTGTCCCAGCCTCCAGGCGGGGATTCACTCTAGGAGGTGGACAAGCGGGGCAGATACAACGAAGGCCACTGACTCCCCAGTGGAGGAGCTTCACGAGGCTCTTCCTTAGACAGGAAGTCCCTGGCACTTCCTGGCTTTTCCTTAGACAGGAAGTTCTATTACTTCTTCCATGCACCCTCTTGGGATCCCCGTTTCTCCAGGGGGAAAACAGTAGGGGAAAGGCATGACCTTGCCCATATGTACCTGAGGTTGAACCTGCACCAGCCAAAGGGCAGTGCATATTCCCGGGGAGGCTCCCCTCTGCGCCTGTGGGCCTCGTCTCCTCGCAGCTTCCGGCAAGACTCACAGTAGCACAGGCTTCGCTTTGGCGGAGGCATGAAATAATCTTCTGCGGGACAGTGAGTAGCAGGCTTGGTGCTGTGGCTCCCACCTCAACCACAGTGGCACCCTCCAGCTGCTCTCCAAGGCTCTAGGCCTGGCCCTGGGAATGAAGTCAGTTCTGGCGGACTGTGGGACTCACCGGGAAGCAGCAGGAGTTCTTGGAAGCGAGAGCAAAGGGCATGGTACTCGCAGCTCTTTAGAGGACTAGCGGCAGGTGGTGGACCCCAGCACACACTCTCTTTGATACCTGAGGGAGCAGAGGGGCACAGGTCACAGGAGCTGGGCTAGAAGGGTGAGGGTGGGGGAGTAGGGGCAGGAGCTGGGTCCCTTTGGGCTGGCACACCGTCCACCATGTCTGCTTTCTCCATGTCCCCTTGGGTTCCAGCACTTTTCCCACTGGCAGCCCCTGGCTCAGGGTTCACGATTGTCACCTGCAGGGGAGAGGGTAGTCAGACAGAGCTTGGTCAGACCCCAGGGCCTGCTGATCCCTCCCTGGAACAGAGATTTCCCCTGTCCTGGACAGCGCAGACTCTCAGGCACCCCTCCTCCCTGCCCCCACTGCCACTAACCTGCTCACACTGCCCATAGAGGTCCACAAGCGCATGGCAGGGCTGGGGCACATCTGGCACAGCTACCCCCTGGTCCACCCCATTAACATGAAGATGCAGCCCCCCAGAGCTGTCCAGCCGCAGTCCCAGGATGGTGCCTTCAGGGCACGTGTCCAGATTGGGCCCAAACTTCTCGCAGATCTGGGAGGAGAGACCGGCTGTCTTCCAGAGGTCAGACTCCACCGCGGCAGCTGTCCCGCCCTTTGCTCTGCTTCCTTTTGCCAGTGCCTTGGCTTTGCCTCCATGCTTGCCCACTGCCGAGGTTCTCCTCCCACTGCAGTTACCTAGAGCCCCTCCCCTTCCCCAAAACTGGCACATTCTCAATGGCAGGGACACCGCAGGAAGCAGCAGGCCTAAGACTGACCAGGCAATGCTACTCGCCCTTGCCTGCCCATTACTGTTCCCCTTTTACACCTGTGGTCCTACCTCCAAGGCTAGGGGCCCACTTCTCCCTTCTGGCCAGCCCTTCTCTACTCACAGGCCTGGTCCTGTTCCTTCTCTCTGGCTCCTACTCACCTTGAGACCGTTGTGGAAGACCCCACGGCCCCGCAGCAGCCAGGCTGCCCGTTTGAGGGCACAGGCAGAAGCAGGGAAGTTGAGCCTCTCAGGCGCGCAGGTGATGACTCCCAGGACAAGGGAAGATGTCCACTGTCGGTTTAGGAAATCTATCCGCACCTGGGGAAGAAAGAACTACTCCATAATCACAGCCTCCTGGGAAGAACCAGGCTCCGCACCCCAGCCAGAGAGGGAATACTGCACCTCCCAGAATGTGGCCTGGGATGCTGCCTTTTCTTATGCTTGGAAGGACCAGAAAACGCTAATTTAGTTGTTTCTTTCCCTCTTTTTTTTTTTTTTTTTTTTTTTTTTTTTAAAAAAAAGAACCGCCAGCCGGGCATGGTGACCCACACTGTAATCCCAGCACTTTGGGAGGCTGAGGTGGGTGGATCACCTGAGGTCAGGAGTTTGAGACCAGCCTGACCAACATGGTGAAACTCCGTCTCTACTAAAAATACAAAATTAGCCGGGCGTAGTGTCATATGCCTGTAGTCCCAGCTACTTGGGAGGCTGAGGCAGAAGAATCGCTTGAACCCGGGAGGTGGAGGTTGCGGTGAGCCGAGATCATACCATTGCACTCTAGCCTGGGCGACAAGAGCTAAACTCCGTCTCAAAAAAAACAAAAAAACAAAAAAACAAAAAAAAAACATGCTGTTTGAGCCTTGACCTTGCTGTTGCCTCTGTAAGGATCTCTAAGGATTCTTATTCCTAGGACTTCCTTCACCTAGCTAGTTTTCTTTTCCTTTCTTTTTTTTTATTGAGACGGAGTCTCGCTCTGTTGCCCAGGCTGGAGTGCAGCGGTGCGATCTCGGCTCACTGCAAGCTCCGCCTCCTGGGTTCAAGCCATTCTCCTGCCTCAGCCTCCCGAGTAGCTGGGACTACAGGCGCCCGCCACCACGCCCGGCTAATTTTTTGTATTTTTTAGTAGAGACGGGGTTTCACCGTGTTAGCCAGGATGGTCTTGATCTCCTGATCTCGTGATCTGCCCGCCTCGGCCTTCCAAAGTGTTGCGATTACAGGCATGAGCCACTGAGCCTGGCCTTTTTTTCTTTTTTTTTTTAAGATACAAGGTCTTGCTCTATCTCCCAGGCTAGAGTGCGGTGGCGTGATCTCGGCTTACTGTAACCTCTGCCTCCCAGGTTCAAGTGATCCTCCCACCTCAGCCTCCCGAGTAGCTGGGATTACAGGCTCGTGCCACCATGCCTGGAGAATTTTTGTATTTTTTTTGTAGAGACAGAGTTTCACTATATTGCCTAGGCTGGTCGCGAACTCGTGAGCTCAAGCGATCCGCCTGCCTTGGCCTCCAAAAGTTCTGGGATTACAGGTATGAGCCACCGCACCCGGGCTCAGCTGGCTAACTTTCACATATCTTTCAGTTTGTAGCAAAAAGGCACCTTCTTCTGGAAAGCCCTCTCTGCTCCCACATATAGGATCAGGCATTTCTCTTGGACTCCTCCAGCCTGTCCCTACTGCTTCCCTCACCAATCACCAGGTAGGGACTTCGTGGTAACTGACTGATGACCCTCATTACAGGCTATGAATAAAAGCCTAGGAAGCTCATCCAAGTGGCTTGCTTTCTTTTTCTCCACACAAAAAGGCCTTTTTTCAGGGGGGTTGGCCATGGGTCACTGTGGAGCGAGAGAAGCTGGGGATAGGGAGGGAGAACCCACCTGCACCAGCAGCTGGGGCACCAGAGGTTGGTTGATGACAACGATGCCCTGATTGTAGCTGGCCACCCGTGTGGCCGTACGGTTCCCATTAGACAAAAGGATATTCTTCCCATGGTTCTCCAGGAACTCGAGGGTGGTGGGTATAATACCCACTTCATTCTGGCCCTGGTGTGGAGGAAGGGACTGAGCTGCATGGGTTGCCAATGCCAGGACTGACCCACCCCACTGGAGTTTGCACAGATCCTGAGTGTGAGCCTCCACCCAACGATCAGAGAACCCAGAAAAGGCCTGGCATCCAACGGCCCAGCAACTGCCCATCCATGTGCACAGCAGACCATGCTGCAGCCTCTTACTCCCAGGCCATGCTCCTCGCCCTCGTCATCCTCCTCGCCCTCACTGCCGGTGTCTGAACTGGGGGAAGGAGGCTGGGTGCCTTCTGACTCCTCCAGTCTCGTGGAACTGACAATTGACACACCGCGGACTGGCCCGTAGAGATCCAACACAGCCCACACGTTCTGGGAGGCACACAAGACCCAGAAAATCAGAGATCAGCAGAAGACCTCAACCATCCTCCCAGAACCCAAGGAAGCGTTCAGGTCTACCTTGGCAATGCCAGTGGCTGCAGGCCCCATATCCTCTCCATCCACCAGGATGTGCATCGTGTCATCTGCCCCCCGACGAACACCCACACGGCTCCCCACCTAGGACCGAGGTAGGACAAGGACGGACGATGTTCAGCCCACCTCTCCCTGCCACCTCCACTCCCAACCCCTCCCCTGTCCCTGGAGCCAGCCACTTCACCCCCAGCCTCTCTAGGTTCCGGCCATAGTTCATCCTCTGGAGCTGCCCATCACGCCTCACTTCACAGCTGGATACCATCCAAGTGGTCTTCGTCCGGAGCTCTGGCAGGGAAGGAGGCAGCCCTGGGCCACCACCGCCTGCCCCGGGTCCCATCTCCCCCGGTGCTAGTGTGGTCAGCCCCAGCCGCAGGGAACCTGCCCACTTCTCATCTAGCTCTTCCACTTTCACCTACGAGACAGAGAAAACATAAGCTGGCCCTGTCGTGATGGGCCTCGCAGCCCCTCTGTCACATCACTACGGCCTACCTCAAAGACTTCCTCAGCCCTCAGCTCCTTGGTACTGAAGACAAGGCCATGAGCATAGCCAGCGGCACGCACTGCCCTCGTGCCATCCTCCTCTAGAGTGACGTTCTTGCCGCAAGTACTGTGGAATCGGTGAGCCACGCCAGCCACTGTGAAGAGATGGCACCAGTAGAAGGGGTAGGATTGGGGCAGCGAGCTTCAGGCAGAACACAGAGCAAAGCTTTCAGATGAAACGAAATGGGGATGCCAACGCCCCATCTGCCATCTGCCATTACACCTCAGGGCCTCCTGACACCTCTTTATTGTATTTTGTTGAGGCAGAGTCTCGCTCTGTCACTCAGGCTGGAGTGCAGGGGCACAGTCGTGGCTCACTGCAGCCTCGACTTCCTGGGATCCAGCTATCCTCCCACCTCAGCCTCTCAAGTAGCTGGGACCACAGGTGCATGCCACCACACCTGCCTACATTTTGTATTTTTGGTACAGACGGGGTTTCGCCATGTTTCCCAGGCTGGTCTCAAACTCTTGTGCTCGAGAGATCCACCTGCCTTGAACTCCCAAAGTGCTGGGATTACAGGCGTGAGCTACTGCGCCCGGCCCTGATACCTCTTTTCACCACAGCAAGGCCCATTTCCAAACCTGGCATGCTCAGCTTATGGTGTCCTGGCCCCTTGGTGGCAGGGAAGTGTCCAGGCTCTAAGTACCAGGTGTAACCTCCCCCTCACTGGCTGCTTGCCACCGTGGGCTGTCCCTTCCCTGGAGCCGGCAGCTACCCCAGCCAACCGTCTTTGCAGAACCTCTCTAACCTGGAAACCCTACTCCTCAGGTGCACAGCAGGCAAGCAGAGCCCGTCCAGCCCCCGCCCTGCTGCCGCACCTGGGGAGTGCAGTGGGAAGGACTTCTCGGTGGCAGTGTTGCTGGTCGCCAGGCTGTTGTCCATGGGGCCGGTGGCATTGGTGATGGACACTTGGACACACTGGCCATAGAGATCGACTACCGCATACACCTCTGGGGAGGAGAGGGAAGGTCAGAAGCCTGACAGCCAGGTGGTCTGGGCTGAGGGTGGCAGGCTGAAAGCCACATAGTCACCTTTACCCGGAGGCAGGCCCGAGCAGGCAGCGCCTTGGTCCTGGCCGTTGATGAAGTAGTGCAGGTCGCCCTTGGCAGTTCGCATCATGCCAATGCGTGCACCTGTGCCCAGCGCATCCAGGTCACACCCATAATTGTTGCGCATCGTGTTACCGTCTTGCATGATGGCTGTACCACTGGGGGGATGGCAGAAGGGGTGAGTCAGCCTGCCAACTTCAACTTCACATTGGCCCCTGCCCACTCCCTGTCTGTCAGAACCCTCCAATGTCTTGGGCTGGTGTCTTGATCTGGGTGTAAGGCCCAATCCTATCTCCTCTGTCCCTGGGATCCCCTTAGGAAAAAGCAAGAACTGCCTAAGATGAAGGAGGACTGAGCCCCTGTGGGCCTGGGCAGGACTTCCCAGAATTCAAGGGGAGGGGACAGGTAGATCCCCTAGGTCTGTCACTACCCACAGCCACCATAGGCCCAAACCTTGCTTCCCTGATCCCAGCCAGCTCCACTCAGCCCCAAGCTGGTCCCCAAAGCAGGAAGCCCAACCTCAGCATCCATGTGTCATAGTCAATGTCTGTCATGGTGTTGGGGAATTCCAGGTCTTCAGGCCGAATAGCAGTCACTCCTGGGAGGAGGCAGGGGTAAGTCAAGGCCGATCCCCAAGGCACAGACATCCAACAGCCCCCAACACACACAGACGGCCCTCACCAGCCTCAATGGAGCCTGACCAGCGGTCCACCATCTTCTGAATGACAATTTCAAACAGCTCTCCATCCCGCAGGGCCCTGCCAGGAGACTGGCGATCAGAGAGGCTCTACTTGCATGGCTGAGGCTGGGCAGGAGGAAGGTGGGGACATGAAAGTTGAGAGACTGACCGGTTGGAGATGACGATGGCGTCATTAAACTCGCTGCGACAGTTGTGGCGGAGGGCGGTGCGGCCCCCGTTAGTGATGACTGCGTTACTGCCGTGCAGCTGATGGAAGCGCAGGTCAGAGCCCCCGGCCCCTGAGGACGGAGAGCTTGGAGACACCTGGTTGTTCCCCTCAGGGAGTGGTTCAGGAACTGGAGCCACCTCTGTAAAAGTGGACATCACCCATCAGGTCTCTAGGTGTCTCTCAGACCTCCCAAGGCCACCCTAACCCCCAGCCCCAGCCCAGCCCGGCCCTCACCCACGTCGTCCACAATGGTGGCCTGGGCCGCCTGGCCATAGAGATCGACGACAGCATAGACGCCCGGGGGCACGTTCCAGGCAGCAGGGCCCTGAGTCATCCCATTGACAAAGAAGTGGAGAGTCCCGTCCTCCCGCCGTACCACGCCCACCGTGTCCCCTGCCTTGGAAGAAGGGGGTGCTGGAGTGAGGAGTCAGGCAGAGTTCCTGCCGGGGCTGGTCCTGCATCAGCCCCGCGGTGTTTGTGATGCCCGCTGCGGCCGCCAGGCGGCGCACCCACTTTCCCACCTTGAGGCGGTCCAGATTGTGCCCGTATTCATCCAGGATGGTCGTCCCATTGTGCATCACCCCATTCCCAGTCATCATCCAGGTCCCTGGGAGGACAAGGAGCAGGAGGGGACATGAGGGGAAATGCAGGGCTCCTCTCCTTGCCACAGCAGCGCCCACAGGACTCCCGAGCCCACAGTCCACCTTGCCTTTTCTTTGATGACTAGATTTCTTCCCTGAGCAGGACAAGAAAACTCTGCAGCTTCCAAGACAGCCACAGCCCTGCCCACGGGACACTCTCTAGCCACTGAATGAGTGGTCACAAGAGTGACAAGTGAAAAAGGAGCTGCAGAACAAGTGCCAGGGCTTTGGGGATAGCTTCCCCCCAAAACCCTATCCTGTCCCTGCCCTTCCTGGGAGCTCACCAGAGCGCAAGTTGGTCATGGTGGAGGGCAACTGGAGGTAGGCAGGGTTGTGGGTGGTGACACCAATTTCAATGGAGCCAGCCCATTTGTCCACCATCTTGTCGATGCGCACCTGGAACACCTCTCCATCCCGCAGGGCTCTGCTGCTCAGCACCACGCCGTGATTGAAGTCATCGGTGGCACTGAGGGCACAGCAAGTGGAGAGTCAGATCCCCAACACACGCTCTCAATGTGCCAAGGCTTAGCCCAGCAATGCCTGCCAACACTCACTGCCCCAAGCCAAAGAACTAAAGCTCAACCTCCAGGAAGCTGCCCCCGCCAGGCTCCCTCTGCCTTCCACTTCCTTGCCCCGCCCCCCCCCCCCCATTAGAATCCCTTCTTCAGGCTTCTCCCCACCCCATGGGCCATACTGGGGCCTCAGGGCAGTGCGTCCCTCGTGGGTGATGGCTGCCTTCTGCCCACAGTTGGGGTGGAAGAGCAGGCGCTCAGGTTCTGCCTGGGCGGCAGGGGCAGCACGGCGGAGAGCACCCTCGGGGGACAGCGCCCGCAGGATGGCGTTGTTTCGGCGGAGACGGTCACTGTGGTTGTTATTGTGGACGATGGTCACCTTCACTGCCATCCCGTACAAGTCCACCACACCATACACCACTGGGGGCGTCAAGGGGGTTGCCACTCCTGTGGCAGGAAGGTACGGGGGTGTGGGAGTGGACAGGGAGAATGAGGGGAGAAAGTCAAACACAGGGAGGCCAAGCACCAAAGAGAAGCAGGAGGATGAGGTACAGCCCCCAGTCCCAGCCCCACCGAAAGCCCCGGCCCAGAGGCTCTCTCTGGGCGGCCCTTACCCTGATCGATACCATTAATGAAGAAGTGTAGGGCAGAGTTGGACTTCCTTGTGAGGCCAATGTGGTCACCCTCCTAATCAAAGAAGACAAACAGTTTAGAGGAGTCCTGAGGCCTGCTCAGCACCCCACTCCACACAGGAACAACTCCAGAAGGTATTCGTGAGAGTCTCAGACCACCCTGGAGGACAGGTCCTGGGTCCTTGTTTTCCAGACATGACAATTTCCACATTTCGTCAATGCTCCACGTGAGTCAGGCACTGAGTTAAACCACCTCACAGACATTAGCTTCTACAAGTCTCAGCCTATGGAATAAGTACTACTCGTAGGCTCATTTTAGAGATTGCAGGAGGTGGGGGAGCAATCAAAGAGGATAAGCTTCTTGCCCCGGTTCGCTACTACAAATGGGAAAACAGTAAGAGGAATTCAACCATCTGACTCCAAAATCTGAGTGCTGAACTCTTGGGCAACTCAGGCTTCTAGGAAGGAACCTTTAGGTGGAAGATACAGGGACTGCCTCTAGGTCACATAGGAGACCCTGCTTGGTGCCCTGGCAGGGACACAGAGTACCTGTGGCTCTGCTGAAAGCGGCCCAGGGATCTGTGCCCCACCCTCACCTGCAACTCATCCAGACTGAATTCGCAGTACTCCCGGCGGGTGCCCTTGCCATTGGTCAGGATTCCACAGCCGCTCATCATGATGGTGCCTGGGTGATAGTGGACACTTGGGTTCGGGTACGGGGCTTCCTTCCCCTCAGCAACACCAGGCCTGCACCCCCGCCCCTGCCCGGGGCTGGTACCTGACTGGAGGTTGGTCATGGTGGCTGGGTACTCCAAACTGTTGGGGTTGTGGGTGGTGACCCCAATCTCAATGGAGCCTGACCACTTATCAACAAGCTTGTCGATACGGATCTGGCATTGAGGGACAGAAGGGAGAAGCAGGGAATGTAAATGCAGAAAGGGACCTTCAGCCCTTGGTTCTTCCCCAGGGCCCACCCTCCTAGCACCAAGGGTCAATCCCCATCTTTAGCTCCCAGGGATAAGGCGCCAACCAGACCACAGGACTTTGCACACCTCAAACATCTCATTGTCCCGAAGGGGGCGATTGGTCATGACAACCCCATTGTTGAATTCATCCAGGGGCCGCCGGCGCTCAGCCGTCTTATTATTGTTGCTGAGTTTGATGAGGGTCCCGCACTTTTCATGAAAGAGCAGGGCATCGTTGGAAGTGAGAATGGGCGAGGTGGCAGCACCGCTAGATCCCAGGCCTTCCCCTGCCGGTGGGGAGCTCAGGTTCACATTCAGGAGCCCTCCATTGTAGGCAGACAGGATGGTGTTGCTCACCACCTCAGACAGCTCCATGTTGGCAAAGTCTATAGCAGCAGGATGGAAGAAGGAAGCTCGGAAGTTGGGATGAGGCTCTACACCCCCAGACCTGGTGCCTCTCTCCCTACCCCTTCTCCTGAGGGCCCTCCCTTGTCCACCTCACTTCCCACTCCCCTTCCCAGGGCCTCCCCAAAGCCCTCACCATTATGCGACTCAAGGCTGTTAGGAAACGTCTCCGGCCGGGCCTGCGCTGGGGACACCATGAAGGCTGGGGACCAGGTGGGATGGGAGGGGAATAAGGGTTCAGTCCCTGCTTCACGGCCCATAGCCAGGAGAACCCCCCATCCTCTAGCTCCTGCTCTCCCATTCAACAGACTTGGGGATCAGGGTGGCCCTGCCCACACCCAGCCTGTCTTGTCACTCTATTTCCCCCATTCCGTCCCCACCCCACCACCACTGCCCTAGCTGTGTTCTCACCTTCATCTGCAGAGGTCCCCTGTTCAGCCAAGGCAGAGTCTTCAGTGGGGGCCAAGGGCTCGAGGGGAGGTGTGGGGATGGGAGTAGGGGGGCTGAAGCCTGGCTCAGGGGGTAGCACGGTGATCTGGGTGCACTTGCCATAAAGGTCCACGACGGCCCAGACACGAGGGGGCAGGCCTGTGGCAGCCACACCGCAATCCCGCCCATTCACCCAGAGCCGAAGCTCCCCAGCAACTGTGCGCTCCACGCCCACGCGGTCCCCTTCACCAAGCTGGTCCAGGTCCTGACCATACTCCTCCAACACAGAGCGTCCATCTCTCAGCACAGAGCAGCCCGACACTACCCACGAGCCCCCCTTCAGGCCCGTGGCACTGCTTGGAAAGTCCAGCACACTGGGGTCCAGCGCTGTCACCCCAATCTCAATGGAGCCGCTCCAGGAGTTGACCTGGGATAGGGGTATTGGACAGAGGCTTAGAATGGGCCACCCCCCATTCCACAGGCCACCATATCTTCCCACCTCTCAGACAGCTAGCTGGCTTTCTGTCTCTTGGAACACTAATCCAGAGATGCAGACAGTGATTTTCTGGACTCCGTCTTGGTAATTATTTGGGCTTTCCTTTAGCAACTCTGCTCTCTACTCAGTGTTTACTAAACCACTCCTTTCCAAGCCAAGCACAAATTCCTTGGTTCCAACCTCCTGCCTCCTCTAACTTTCCTTGTCTCTATGGCTCTCCAACCATCCAAATTCTCCTACTTCCTATACCCACACCTCTTGCTCTTGTGTATCATTCATTCCTTTCCCCTGGCCTAATTCTCTCCAAAGATCAGGCTCTACCCAGATTCAATCTCCTTCCAAGTTCTTTTTCTGTGAGCCTGGCCTCTTCACTGAATCACACACACCTCCCTCACCCTGGATCTTTCTCCTCACCTATCTTTCTGGCACAGCCTCTGTCCTTCAATGGTTTGTTCTGTTTTTTTGAGACGGAGTCTCACTCACTCTATTGCCCAGGCTGGAGTGCAATGGCATGATCTCAGCTCACTGCAACCTCTGCCTCCCGGGTTCAAGCCATTCTCCTGCCTCAGCCTCCAGAGTAGCTGGGATTACAGGCGCACGCCACCATGCCTGGCCAATTTTTGTATTTTTAGTAAAGACGGGGTTTCACCACGTTCACCAGGCTGGTCTCAAACCCCTGACTCTAGTGATCCGCCCGCCTCGGACTCCCAAAGTGCTGGGATTACGTTTGTTCGTTCCTTGGCATCTTTCTTCACTTGCCATCACATCTCTGACATCTCTCCATCCTCCATGCCCAAGAAATTGTACCAGGAGGTCTGTTCCCAGCCATTCTAGTGGGTTAGCCCTCGTGTCCCTTCCCTGGTTCTGGATCTTGAGAAAACTCAAGCTCTTAATGTCATCTTCAAACTCAATGTTTCTGCTTCATGCTGTCTTCCTGACCGCCCCCTGGTGCTCTATGGTCTTTCTGTTCCCTCTCGGTGCCCGGCAATGTGGGCTACCCTGGCTGTCCTACCCCGTCTCCCTCTAGACGCCTCCCACCACCCTCCACATCTCTGTTCCGCGGTACCAGCGCTGCACCTTGCGGTCGATGCGGACGGTGAAGACGCGTCCATCGCGCAAGGGTTCTCGGCTCAACACCAGCCCGTGGTTAAACTCCTGGCCCGGCTGCTGCCGCCGCGCCGTACGCCCACAGGCCGACAGGCTCACCAAGCGCCCAGTGCGCGGGTGCAGTTCCCCGCCGCTGCCCAGACCCCCGTTGGACCCCGGTCCTGAGCCGCTCCCGCTGGGGCCCCCACCCCCGCCCGGCCCCGGTCCAGGGCCTCCCCCAGAGCCCCCACTCCCACCCGACCCTGCCGCCATCTCCGCTGACACCGGGGCAGCGCGACAGCCGCGCTTGGCGGCACCGTGGCAACCGCGTCGGGCAGACAGTCCGAGGGATACGACCGGGGGGCTGAGGCCAGGTATGCTTTACGGCACTGCCGGGCAATGAAGCAGCCCGCGCTAGGAGCTGGGGACGACCACGATGAGAACAGAAGGACACGGGGTCGGGAGCCTCGCTTTACGGCATAGCGAGGTGACGGAGCGGCTCCGAGGGGGACGAAGACCTGGGCAGGGAGCTTTTGCGACAGTGGGAGAAAGACACGCCCACCGCAGGCATCTTTACGACGGTGGGGTGCTGGAGCCCAAACACTTTCTGCTTTGCGACAGCGGCACCGACGACCCCGCCCTCGCTAGGGGGCGGTGACACCTTGAAGCACTCGCTTTACGGCAAGAGGGGGTGTCTCCCCTCGGGATGCAGGCTCCAAAGCAGCGTGAGCCGAGTCTGGAGGACCCAGAGAAGCGGTAGTGAAAGTCTCTTCCCGCCACCCGACTGAGGACGAAGTGTCTTGCAACAGTGCGGCAGTCCTTCCACTTTGCCTCACACCTCTTCTGATTGGCTGAGCTAGCCGACTGGCGGGGGTGGGGGAAGCTCGCTGATAGTTCAAGTCAAGCCCAGCTTCAACTCCAACTCAACCAAACTATTCCATGTTAAGACCACAAAGAGTCTAAAGAAGTCCCGACAGGCCGTTTCAAGCGACAGCGTTGATGACCCCAAAAGATCTCCCTTAGAGCTATTAACAAGCCCCCTGCCCAACTCCCCGAAGCTCAAGCTCAGGCTGGAGGACCGTGAGGTCACAGTCGAAGCTCCTGGCCTGGCCCCCTGACTGGGATTGGCTGGTTTGGATGAGGGTGGTGATGGAGAAGGGCGGGAACAAATTGCCCAGACAAAGAAAATCTTTGGGTGGGACACAAAGGAAAGGGGCGAGCGGAGGGACCCCCAGCCCGAGTCTCTATATAGTCTTGATTCCGCCCGCCGCAGCTCTGGAGCAGGGGAGAAGTGGACCCGGGACTGAGCCCGAGCATCCCCGGCCGGCAGCGGTGGGGGCGGGGCCAGGGGCGGGGCTACGTGGAGCCGGGAGGCGGGTCAGGATCGCTGAGAGCAGCCCCCCAGTGGGGCCATGGAGAAGGTGGAGTCCCTAGGGGCTGCTGGCGGCCTCAACCGGGATTCCCCTGGAGGGGCAGCCAGAGGAGTGCCCGCAGCGGTCACAGGAGTCGAGGCAGGCGCTGGGCAGCCCTCCAGAGTAGTCTTGTTTCACGGTTCTGGGCCCCACGTGCACTCAGGGGGCTCCGTAACTCATAGTACTGGTTCAAGCTGTCCCTCCGGGGGGATAGTGGTCCTTGGTTCCGGGCCCAGTCAGCACCCAAGGGAGGCTGCGAACCACAGCCTTGGGTCTGGCAGGAACCCTGGTGGATTCAACATCCCCGGGCCTCGAACCAGTGTATCCAGGGCTTCCAGCCCCGGGCCTGGGGGACCTGCAGGGCAAGAGGTAAACAGCCCCGGGTGCAGTCCGCACTCTGGGCCAACTTGCTTGAACCCCCAAAACTCCCAACAGGACCGGCCCCGGAGCATCCTACGAAAGAACAGCTCCAACTTGATGCAGAAATCCCCCAATGTGGAGAAGTAAGGAGCCCAGCTCTGCGGGCAGCCAGCCCAGAGTCGGGAGGGTTCAGGACACCTGAGGGTGGGAGCCAGAAGGAAAGGGGCAGAGCCTTAAGAATGAAGAGTTAGAGTAGGTGAGGGCAATTGAGTGGGAAGTCCGAGGTTCCAGGCTTTCGGGAGAAGAGCAGGTGCCCCATAAACCGTGGCTGCACAGGACTGTGATTATCATTAAGTCTGACCCCATCCCCAGCCTCAACAAGGTATAAGAAACCTGTTTTGAGTCGGAGTGGTGACTCATGCCTGTAATCCTAGCACTTTGGGAGGCCGAGGTGGGCAGATCACCTGAGGTCAGGAGTTCGAGACCAGCCCGGCCAACATGGTGAAACCCTGTCCCTACTAAAAATACAAAAATAAGCCGGGTGTGGTGGCAGGCACCTGTAATCCCAGCTACTTGGGAGGCTAAGGCAGGAGAATGGCTTGAACCGGGGAGGCAGAGGTTGCAATGAGCTGAGATCACACCATTGCACTCCAGTCTGGAAAACAGAGCAAGACTCCATCTCAAAAAACAAACAAACAACAACAAAAACTGTTTTGAATGCCACGCAGGGTAGCTCATGCCTGTAATCCCAGCACTTTGGGAGTGCGAGGCAGGCAGATCACGAGGTCAGGAGTTCAAGACCAGCCTGACCAACATGGTGAAACCCCATCTCTACTAAAAATACAAAAATTAGCCAGGTGTGGTGGCGCACGCCTGTAATCCCAGCTACTCAGGAGGCTGAGGCAGGAGAATCACTTGAACCCGGGAGGCAGAGGTTGCCGTGAGCTGTGATCGTGCCACTGCACTCCAGCTTGGTCAACAGAGCCAAGATTCCATCTCAAAACAAAAACAAAAGCAAAAAACAAAAACAAAAACAAAAAAAACCTGTTTTGAATGACTGGGAAAATGAGGGAGGCCTATGGGGGGGTCATTAGAAGGTCTCCTCCCCCAGCCCCAGAAGGAAGTCTCAGCACTGGGACGAGATGAATATCCTGGCCACCTACCGCCCTGCTGACAAGGACTATGGATTTATGATGGTGGATGAGCCCAACACTCCCTACCACAGGTGCTGAGCCCTCAGCCCCAACCCTTCAGTCCAGAGATTCTTCTCTATTTAAAGGAGGGGACAGGTGGAGGAGGCAGAGCGCCTCAGGGACTGGATACTGCCTGACACCCACCTCCCGGCACTGCTTCCCCCTCCTCTGCAGGCTGCAGGACAGTTTTGAGGACCTCTCTGCCGGCTCCTCCTGCTCAGTGAATCCTGGAGTGCTGGCAGAGAGGTAAGAGTCCTGCCAGAGATCAGCCGGGTTATGGGGCCTCTTCCTTCCCTCAGCCCTGAATTCAGGTCTGCAGCGGGTCTGCTTTCTGACACCTGCAGTGGGAGGTGCTACAATTTCCATCAGGCCTGGATGGGGGCAGGGGTCCGCCAATTTGGCCTCGTTTACCACCTGTCCCCATTGCTATTTTCTTCTCTTGATGCCCCCAACTAGTCTCCTGCCCCTTCAGGATTGCCATGATGGACAGTATCTGCCCCAGGTTCCGCCAGGACTGTGCTGACAGGAGCTCAGGGCCTGCAGACAACTTTTCCAAGATACATGATGTAGGGTCCAGCCCTATGGGGCTTAGCGGGTGTTCCCCACCGTGTGCAGAGACGAGAGATTGTAATAAATTAAGACACAAGACAAAGAGATAAAGAGAAAGCAGCTGGGCCTGGGGGATGACTACCAAGACGCGGAGACCGGTAGTGGCCCTGAACCACTGGTTGCGCTGATATTTATTGCATACAAGACAAGGGGGCAGGGTAAGGAGGGTGAATCTTCTAAGTGATTGACAAGGTGCAGCAAGTCACGTGATCACAGGACAGGGGGCCCTTCCCTTTTAGGTAGCCGAAGTAGAGAGAGAAGGCAGCATACGTCAGCGTTTTCTTCTATGCACTGATAAGAAAGATCAAAGACATTAAGACTTTCACTATTTCTTCTACTGCTCTCTACTACGAATTTCAAAGAGGAACCAGGAGTACGGGAGGAACATGAAAGTGGACAAGGAGCGTGAGCATTGAAGCACAGCACCACAGGGAGGGGTTTAGGCCTCCGGATGACTGCGGGGAGGCCTGGATAATATCCAGCCTTCCACAAGAAGCTGGTGGAGCAGAGTGTTCCCTGACTCCTCCAAGGAAAGGAGACTCCCTTTCGCGATCTGCTAAGTAACGGGTGTCTTCCCAGGCACTAGCGTTACCGCTTGACCAAGGAGCCCTCAAGCGGCCCTTATGCGAGCGTGACAGAAGGTTCACCTCTTGCCTTCTAGGTCACTTCTCACAATGTCCCTTCAGCACCTGACCCTATACCCGCCGGTTATTCCTAGGTTATATTAGTAATGCAACAAACAGTAATATTAAAAGCTAATGATTAATAATGTCTATAATAATGATTGATAATTGTCCATGATCATCTCTATATCTAATTTGTATTATGACTATTCTTATTCTAACTATTTCTTTATTATACTGAAACAGTTTGTGCCTTCAGTCTCTTACCTTGGCACCTAGGTAATCTTTCGCCCACAACATGAGATGAGGGTTGTGGATTGAATGGAAAGGGGGAGGTGGAGCGAGCCTTTGGCAAGAGTGCGGTGGGAAAGCCAAGCTCTCACCATGGTCACAGACTCCACCGACTTTGACAAGCGCCGCAAGGCACACTATGACAAAGGGAAGTTTCTCAAGGCTCAGAAAAACCAGCCCTTGGAGAATGAAGAGGATGAGGATGACAATGGTGGTATTATCAGTATCAGCGGTGGCAGTCAAGGCGTGATGCTGGACCCAGAGCCCAGGCCTGTGCAGAGAGGCTTGGCAGGAGAACTAGCCAGAGGAGCCAAAGATGAGCCAGGCCTGGTCACCTGGAGGCACATCCTTGAAGCCGAGGGTTAGCGATGGCGGGGCTCCAGGGACTAGAGGGGGTTGTATTCCAGAGCCCGTTCCTCACTTCTCTACCACAGTCTGTCTTCCTCAGTGGCTATCAGCCCAAGACTCTGCTGCCTGACAGGGAGGTAATGCTGGGAAGTAACCCCAGGGAAGAAAGAGGGCAGCTGGAGGAAGGACCCCACTCAGGATAGTCCCCGGAGATTATTGGCTGTTGAGGAACAGAAAGTCTGATTGGGGGCTGATTTGTTGGCCAGGCCCAGTGGCTCACTTCTGTAATCCCAGCACTTTGGGAGGATTGCTTGAGGCCAGAAGTTCAAAACCAGCCTGGGCAACGTAGGGAGACCTCATCTCTACAAAAAAAGAAAAAGAAAAAAATTGTTTTTAATTAGCCAGGTGTGGTGGCGTGCACCTGTAGTCCAGGCTACTGGGGAGGCTAAGGTGGGAGGATAGCTTGAGCCCAGGAGTTTGAGGCTGCCGTGAGCGATGATGGCACTAACACATTCCAGCCTGGGTAACATAGCAAGATCTTGTCTCAAAAAATAAATAAAAAAATAAACAAAAGTCCGAGACAACCATGGGGGGAGGTGGAGCGGTCACTGAAGTTTTTCTAAAATGGGAAGGGTAAGAGAAGTCAGTGAGATGAGGATCTGGGGCCTGAGCTTCTCCCCTCTGGTGAGGGCCCACAACAGACACCTGGGAGGCATGGATACACCAGATGGCTAGAAGACTTGGATTCATTTGATTGATTCCTCAGATTCCTCCACCTACAGAAATCAGTCCCCCCAGCTGTGGCCACTATCATATTGGGGCAGGAGATTGCTCTGCAGCACAAGGAATATGATGGCAAAGGACTATACCTGAGGTCCTGCTCCCACCCAGAGCTTGTAGAGGACGTGGAAGATGAGCATCAGGATGGTGAGAACCTGGGCAGGCCAGCCTAGGGGGCAGGAGGGCTGGGAATGCACAGCCTGATGGGTACCCGAGCCCTGATCCCTGATTCTAGGCTCCACAAGCTTGACCTAGGTGATTGAGAACCCCGTAAGCACTGAAGTCCACCTACTGGACCACATGGGAGGCCCCTTTAGGGATCACAAGGCCACGGAGAGCTCCCTGATGGCAACAATGACAACATTGCAGCCTGTTGAGGGCACCAGGCCACCATCTCCCTGGGGCTGTCTCTTGGCAAGCTCCCATCTCCCAGCCCTCCAATTCTTTCAGGCCAGTACATCAGCAACAGGTGGAAGGAGAGGCCCTGAACAGCCTCAAGTCCAAGGTCCACATTGGACAGGCGAGGAACCAGGGAGACTCAGAGGCGGTTGGGACCCCCTCCAGCTTGGCACCACACACTGGCTCCATGCCTCCTCCTTCACTCCTCTGCCACACCACCCCACTCCAGGTATTTCTCTGTCCTCCAAAGACAGTGAGTCTCAAGTGGTGTCCAGCTGGTGGCTGGGGGGCTGAGCTGGCAAAGCCCAAGGAGTTCAGAGAGGGAGAGTGGAAGCAACCCCAACTCCTCAAGCCAGAACAAGCACAGCCTGGCACACTGAGCCTGGGCAGAGGCAAGGGGATGCATACACTGGCCAGGGAGGTAGAGGAGCTGAGTGGGGAGGTTCTAGGGGATCCAGAGTCACATGGACAAGATCTCATGCCTGCTACGAGAAAGCCATGAACTCAAACTCTTCTCTCCAGATGAAACCCTGGGACTTCAATGGACTCAAGAAAAGGAAAGCAAACAATGGAAAATGGGGCTGGTTGGGGGCGGAGTGGGGGCAACCTTCCCTTCATGACCACCCTATGAATAGAAATAAAGAGCAGAAGAGCAAGAGTCTGGGAGCTGTGAATCGGGTGCTCAGGCTGGGCCTGCTCAGTCGTTGAGGAGAGGGGAGGAGGAAGGGGAGTTCACACACAGGAACCATGAATATGACGGCAAAACGAAGAAAGCTGGGAGCAGTCCGGGGTACTGGACTCCACAGGAGCAGGCCCAAGCTGTAGCAGGATGACAATGACTGATGCAATTAATATAGTGAACCAGCTGGGCACAGTGGCTCACGCCTGTAATCCTAGCACTTTGGGAGGCCGAGGTGGGTGGATCACCTGAGGTCAGGAGGTCGAGACAAGTCTGACCAACAAGGTGAAACCCCGTCCCTACTGAAAATACAAAAAGTTAGCCGGGCATGATGGCAGGAGCCTGTAGTCCCAGCTACTCGGGAGGCTGAGACAGGAGAATTGCTTGAACCCAGGAGGCGGAGGTTGTAGTGAGCCGACATCGCGCCACTGCACTGCAGCCTGGGCGATGGAGGGAGACTCCGTCTCATAAATAAATAAATTTAGTGAACCATGAATTTACTGCTATCACCTTCTTCACTTCGTACAGCCCTGGAGGAAGGGGTTATCATTCCCATCTTCCAGATGAGAAAACTGAGGAATCAGAGAGCTCGTCCAGGGGCACATAACCTCTAAGTGACAGAGCCAGGATTTGAACCTAGATCTGCCAGGCCCCCAAGATAACCACGAAGAGAGAAAGAAACAGAGGCTAGAGCCCCAGGAGGAAGGAGCTGGCAGATCGTCTCTGAGGGTGGGGCTGTGGCTTCTCTGATCTCAGGCCCCCATCCTCCGCCCAGGCCCCGCCCCTGCCCCTCCCAGCACTGCCTGGAAGTGTGGGGTGAGAGCTCCTCCTAGGACACCCCTTTCCCCTTGGGGAAAGAATTGTGCCCCCAGGCCCTTCCCCGCGGAGGTCCCTCTCCTCCTTCCCCCTCATCTCCCCTTCCTGGGACAGAAAGTGCCTCCACCTGCATCCCCAGGGGCCCGGCCTCCAGGGCCCGCTGGCCCCACAGCAGGCAAGCTGAGATGACGGTCAAGCTGGATTTCGAGGAGTGTCTCAAGGACTCACCCCGTTTCCGGTAAGTGTGAACTGGTCTGGGGGGCTAAGGAGGGGAAAGTCTAACACCCCCAGCACACACACACCTTTCCCCAGGCCAGGTCTCCTTCCAGGGAGCAGGCCTCTAAGAGGCAGGAGCGAGCCTGTGGGCCAAAGTGGTACCCCAGCTGTGAAAGCAGGGTACTCCAATGCTCTCTGCCCCTGCATGCTCCTCCTGGCCTCTGCAGTTTCCCTCACCCCTAGAGCTGGCATTCCCTCTGGCCTCTCAGTGGGACCCCTGCCCCTCCCCCAGCACCTGCTCTGGGGCGGTTAGCAACTTCCTGCCCTGGCCACATCCACCCTCCTTCTACCCTTCCTGCTCTGGCCTGGGCTGTGGTAGCTCCCAGACTGCAGAGCGGGCAGAGCACAAGTAGGTGGGTGGGGGGCGAGCCTCTCAACTCTGCAGCTTTCTCCTCCGTACCCACCGCCCTGCGACTCCATCCCGCCTGATGAGGCAGACAGACCAGATGGACCCAAGCTCTCTTCCCATGACCCCCTCTTTCCCAGAGCCTCTATTGAGCTGGTGGAAGCCGAAGTGTCAGAATTGGAGACCCGTCTGGAAAAGGTGACCCTGACATGGAGAGGTGACCCAGGAGTGGATTAGGTTGAGAGGGGTAGGGCCAGGGAGAAAGCTGGAGACACAGAATGCATCCCAGGGATTATTGAATACTGTGTAGGGGAGATATTTTGGAGACTGCAGAGAAGCAAAAAAGGTGGTTCTGTACCGACAAGAAGCTCAGGATCTTGGAAAACAAGACTTACTTTTGGGCCAGGCATGGTAGCTCATGCCTGTAATCCCAGCACTTTGGGAGGCCAAGGTGAATGGATCACCTGAGGTCAGGAGTTCTAGACCAGCCTGGCTAACATGGCGAAACCCCATCTCTACTAAAAATGCAAAAATCATCCAGGCTTAGTGGCACCCATCTGTAGCTCCAGCTACTCAAGAGGCTGAGGCAGAGGAATCACTTGAACCTGGGAGGCGGAGGTTGCAGTGAGCCAAGATCGCACCACTGCACTCCAGGCTAGGCGACAGAGCGAGACTCTGTGTCAAAAAAAAAAAGACTTAATTTTGGACTTCCTTGTTCTGCTCTTGAGCTCCTGCATTGTGCCAGGCCCTGGGCATTCAGGGAGGACAAGATCATTTCTGCTCCCACGGAGCCCAAAGGCTGACTAGAAGACAAACCAGTGAAACGTTTCAATTCAAGACAGTAAGGTGTCCCCTGAGCACTCTATCAAACAGCATGTTCACACAAATACACACTCAAATGCTCTCTCATTCCCCTTACTTCGCTTTACTTTTCTCTGCAACATTTACCTCTGACACATTATGTATTTGCTTGCTATATATTAGTTCTCTATTGCTGTGTAACAAATTGTCACAAATTTAGTGGGCAACATTGTTTTATGGGCAACATGGTGAGACCTCATCTCTACAAATAATAATTTTATTTTTATTTTTATTTATTTGAGATGGAGTCTCGCTCTGTCACCCAGGCTGGAGTGCAGTGGTGCGATCTCGGCTTACTGGAACCTCCACCTCCCAGGTTCAAGTGATTCTCCTACCTCAGCCTCCCAAGTAGCTGGGATTACAGGTGTGCACCACCACACCTGGATAATTTTTTTTCTTTTTGTATTTTTAGTAAAGACAGGGTCTCACCATGTTGGCTAAGCTGGTCTTGAACTCCTGACCTCAAATGATCTACCTGCCGCAGCCTCCCAAAGTGCTGGCATTACAGGCTTAAGCCACCGCACCCGGCCTACAAATAATAATTTTAAACAATGGACTGGATGGAGTGGCCACAGCTGTGATCCCAGATGCTTCAATACTGGGCTCAAGTGATCCTCCCTCCTCAACCTCCCCAGTAGCTGTGCTACAGGCACATGCCACCACGCCTGGCTTTTTTAAATTTAAATTTATTTTTTGTAGAGATGGGGTCTCCCTATGTTACCTAGGCTGGTCTGGAACTCCTGGCCTCAAGTAATCCTCCCACCTCAGCCTCCCAAAGTGCTGGAATTACAGGTGTGAGCCACCACACCTGGCCTGAATTTTTTATTTTGAGTAAATTATTGACTCAGGAGACTAGTGAGGAGAGGTCTCATGTACCCATCACCCAGCTTCCCCCAGTGGTGACATCTTATACAATACTAGTACATTATTAAAACCAGGACATTAATAGTGTCACATTACAATTAACAATAAACTCGGCCAGGTGTGGTGGCTCACGCCTGTAATCCCAGCACTTTGGGAGGCCAAGGTGGGCGGATCACGAGGTCAGGAGATCGAAACCATCCTGGCTAACACTGTGAAACCCCGTCTCTACTAAAAATACAAAAAATTATTCGGGTGTGGCGGCAGGCGCCTGTAGTCCCAGCTACTCAGGAGGCTGAGGCAGGAGAATGGCGCGAACCCGGGAGGTGGAGCTTGCAGTGAGTGGAGGTCGTGCCACTGCACTCCAGCCTGGGCGACAGAGTGAGACTGTCTCAATAAACAAAAACAAACAAACAAAAAACCCCAATAAACTCTAGCCAAGCTCAGTGGCTCACGCCTGTAATCCCAGCACTTTGGTAGGCTGCGGCAGGTGGATCACGAGGTCAGGACTTCGAGAACAGCCTGACCAACATGATGAAACCCCCATCTCTACTAAAAATACAAAAATTAGCCAGGCGTGGTGGCACGCACCTGTAATCCCAGCTACTCAGGAGGCTGAGGCAGGAGAATTGCTTGAACCCAGGAGGCGGAGGTTGCAGTGAGCCGAGATCACGCCACCACACTCCAGCCTGCGGAGGTCGCAATGAGCCGAGATCGTGCCACTGCACTCCGGCGTGGGCGACAGACCAAGACTCTGTCTCTAAATAAATAAATAAACTCTATAGATCCTACTTTGATTTTACATTTTGCATATACTCTTTTTTGGTGTTTTTGTGTATAATTCTATGGTACTTTATCACGTGTATGGATTCCTTTAACCATCACCACACACCAATGGACACAAGGAATTCCTTTACAGTGGTACCCGACACCCTTCCCACACTTCTTTAATCTGTGGTAACCGCTGATTTGTTCTCCATCTCTCTACTTTTGTCATTTCCAGAATGTTCCATATATAGAATCATACACTATGTGACCCTTTGAGATTTGGCTTCCCCCTCCCCCCTCACTCAGAATAATGCTGCTGCCGGGTGTGGTCGCTCATGCCTGTCATCCCAACTACTCAGGAGGTCAAGGTAGGAGGGTTGCTTGAGGCCAGAAGCTCGAGACCAGCCTGGGCAACATAGCAAGACCCTTGTCTCTAAATAATGTTCTGTTTTGTTTTTAAATTAGCCAGGCATGGTGGTGTGTGCCTGTAGTCTCAGCTACTCAGGAAGCTAAGATTGGAGGATCCCTTGAACCCAGGAGTTCAAGGCTGCAGTGAGCTATGATCCCACCACTGCACTCCAGCCTGGGCGACAGAGACCTCAACTCTAAAAATAATCATAATTTTTTAAAAGATGAATGCTCTTGAAGTTTATCCAAGTTGTTGCACATATCAACAGTTTGTTCCTTTTTATTGCTGAGTACTGTTCTATTGAACAGATGTCCCAGTCTGTCACTAGTCCAGTGTTATGAAAGTTTCTTACTCATCTAAGGGGGAGGGGCTGAGATGGTAAGGAAAAAAACTAGACACAGAGTCCTCAGATTCACACAGTGATTTGTGAACATCCTTGTACCTTGTCACAGACAACCCATGGTGATGTCTGATAAGATTTGATCTCGGTCAGGCCAGGTGCAGTGGCTCATGCCTGTAATCCCAGCACTTCGGGAGGCCGAAGCAGGTGGATCACCTGAAGTCAGGAGTTCGAGACCAGCCTGGTCAACATGGTGAAACCCCGTCTCTACTAAAAATACAAAAAATTAGCTGGGCGTGGTGGCGGGCACCTGTAATCCCAGCTACTCTGGAGGCTGAGGCAGGAGGATCGCTTGAACCTGGGAGGTGGAGGTTGTGGTGAGCCAAGATCATGCCATTGCACTCCAGCTTGGGCAACGGAGCAAAACTCCGTCTCAAAAATAGAAAAATAAAAAGAGATGGGGTTTCACTATGTTGGTCAGGCTGATATCCAACTCCTGACCTCAGGTGATCCACCCACCTCAGCCTCCCAAAGTGTTGAGATTACAGGTCTGAGCCACCTTGCCTGGCCTATCAAGTCTCTTTGTCAGTCAAAAGAGCCAGATAGGATGGGCCCCAGGAGTACCCCGGCATTTCCTCTTGGCCCTGACCCGTGGTCTAGATGATGGATTAATATTTATGAGGGAACGTGCAGTGAGCACAGAATGGGACAACTCCTAGCAGTAAATACTATAGATTTTATTTATTTATTTATTTTTCGAGACAGAGTCTCGGTCTGTCACCCAGGCTGGAGTGCAGTAGCGCCATCTCGGCTCACTGCAGCCTTGACCTCCCGGATTCAGGCAGTCCTCCTGCCTTAGCCCCCCAGGTAACTGGGATTATAGGCACTTGGTGCCATCTCAGCTCACTACAGCCTCAGCCTCCCGGGTTCAAGCAGTCCTCCTGCCTTAGCCTCCCAAGTAGCTGGGATTACAGGCATGTGCCACCATGCCTGGCTAATTTTTGAATTTTTAGTAGAGATGAGGTTTCACCATGTTGCCCAGGCTGCTCTTGAATTCCTGAGCTCAAGCGACTGGCCCGCCTTGGCCTCCCAAAGGGTTGGGATTACAGGTGTGAGCCACCACGCCCGGCCAATACTGTAGAATTTAATAGCAACCAGGTAGAGCATCCAGACCATGCAGGAATCTCCACGGAGCTCTGGATCTAAGCAGGTAGGCAGGGCAGGAAGAGATATGTGCGAGTGGACAGGGAAAGATGTTTTGGAGGTAAGGCTGACAGAGGTGTTGGCGACAGGCTGAGAGGAATGGGCAGGAATTGGGTTTCAGGCCCAAGGCAGTGGGAGCAAAGACGCAGCGATAAGAACACAGCAGGTATGTGTTAGATACAGGGAGAGCTGGATGAGCCTGGAGGGCAGTGAGGCCAGGCAGGAATAGGGGAGCGCCGCCCTGGGCAAGGGGAGAGGAAGTGGGGCAGGTGTGGGGGCATCACCAGGTGTGAGGATGATGGCACAGCTCCCTGTTACCCTCCTTCTTTCCCAGCTCCTGAAACTGGGCACTGGTCTCCTGGAAAGTGGGCGCCATTACCTTGCTGCCAGCCGCGCCTTCGTTGTCGGCATTTGTGACCTGGCCCGCCTGGGTCCACCAGAGCCCATGATGGCGGTATGCGGAGGGTCTGCATCTGGGAGGGAAGGGGTCTGGGATGAGGAGGTGATGCTGTGGAAGAGGAGGGCTGGCCTGGGGTCTGCAGGTTCCAGGCCACAGCAGGGCTGGGCTGCTGTCCATGACAGCCGTAGCAGGCTGGGTCTCGAGTCGGGAGGGTGCTGCCACCCCATGCCTGGTACTCTTTCTGTGCCTCTTCTTGCCTAGGAGTGTCTGGAAAAATTCACCGTGAGCCTGAACCACAAGCTGGACAGCCATGCGGTAAGTAGGGGAAGGTAAGGATTGTCGGGGTGGTGGCCAGGTCACCTGTGGTCCTGACCCCAGTCTACCAACTTCTCCTTCCCTCAGGAGCTTCTAGATGCCACCCAACACACACTGCAGCAGCAGATCCAGACCCTGGTCAAGGAGTGAGATGGGGCCGGGCGCAGTGGCTCATGCCTGTAATCCCAACACTTTGGAAGGCCAAGGCGGGAGGATTGCTTGAGCCCAGGAGTTGGACACCAACCTAGCCAACATGGCGAAACTGTCTCCACAAAAAATACAAAAATTAGGCCGGGCACGGTGGCTCATGCCTATGATCCCGGCATTTTGGGAGGCCAAGGCGGGCGGATCACCTGAGGTCGGGAGTTCGAGACCAGCCTGTCTAACATGGCAAAACCCCAGCTCTACTAAAAAATACGAAAAAAAAAAATTAGCCGGGCATGGTGGCAGGTGCCTGTAATCCCAGCTACTCAGGAGGCCGAGGCAGGAGAATCATTTGAACCCAGGAGGTGGAGGTTGCAGTGAGCCAAGATCGCACTACTTCACTTCAGCCTGGGCAACAGAGTGAGACTCTGCCTCAAAAAAAAAAAAAAAAAAAAAAAAATAGCCGGGCGTGGTGGCACATGTCTGTTGTCCCAGCTTCTTGGGAGGCTGAGGCAGGAGAATTGCTTGAGCCTGGAGGTCAGGGCTGCGGTGAGCCATGATTGTGCCACTGTACTCCAGCCTGGGTAACAGAGCAAGACCCGGTCTCAAAAACAAAAACAACAACAACAACAAAAATTTTTTAAAGGGGGAGTGAGATGGGAGAGAAGGGGGCCTTATTTCTCGGAAACCAGCCCTGCTGCCCTCTTCCCATGGCCACAGGAGCCTCCCCAGTGACGGAGTTGTGAGATTGGGGGTTTCTGGTGTCCTGACTTCCGTCCCAGGGATCACCTTGGGTTTCCCACGTTGCAGAGACTAACTGAAAGGACATGAGGGCTTTACCCTGGGAATGCTCTGCTGGGGCAGGTGGGTGTTAGCTGCGATTCTGTGTTATTTTCCCATCCTCAGAGGTCTGCGGGGTTTCCGAGAGGCTCGCCGGGATTTCTGGCGGGGGGCTGAGAGCCTGGAGGCTGCCCTGACCCACAACGCAGAGGTTCCCAGGCGCCGGGCCCAGGAGGCAGAAGAGGCAGGAGCTGCTTTGAGGACGGCTCGAGCTGGGTACCGGGGACGGGCACTGGATTATGCCCTGCAGGTGCCTGCCCCAATCTGTCTTCCTGGGGTACCAGAGCCTCAAGTGTCACCTCGAGGCTTGGGGGTCTCCAGTGTGCAGTGGGAAGGGGTGCTGTGTCTTCAAGACTGATCTGGGGTTTTTTACGTCCTCTTTTACGTCCTCAGATCAACGTGATTGAGGACAAGAGGAAGTTTGACATCATGGAGTTTGTGAGTTGTGGCGGGGGTGAGGGCAGGGTGGAGAAGAGCCTGCTGCCAGCACAAGGGAATGGGGAGAGGGGTTCTTCCTCAGCCTTCCCACTGCCCGCCTTGTCCCCCAGGTGCTGCGTTTGGTGGAGGCCCAGGCTACCCATTTCCAGCAGGGCCATGAGGAGCTGAGCCGGCTGTCCCAGTATCGAAAGGAGCTGGGCGCCCAGGTGGGGCCCCAGGGCACAGCAGGTGGTAGAGGGAGGTTAGGGACTCCTAACTGGGGGGCCTTGGACATCTGAGATGCCCTTCCTGTGCCCAGTTGCACCAGCTGGTCTTGAATTCAGCACGAGAGAAGAGGGACATGGAGCAGAGACACGTGCTGCTGAAACAGAAGGTGAGGGGCCAGGTGCGGTGGCCCACGACCGTCATCCCAACATGTTGGGAGGCTGAGGTGGGAAGATTGCTTGAGGCCTGGAGTTCAAGATTAGCCTAGGCATCGTAGTGAAACTCCATCTCTACAGAAAATTTTAAAATTAGCTGGTGTGGTGGCATGCACCTCTAGTTCTAGCTACTCAGGAGGCTGAGGTGGGAGGATTGCTTGAGCCCAGGAGTTCAAGACTGCAGTGAGCTATGATCACACAACTGCACTTAAGCCTGGGTGAAAGAACAAGACCCTGTCTCTAAAAATAAATTTTAAAAAGTATTTCAAAAAGCAGAAAGTAAGGGCTAGGGCTGTGGGCAGGAGGCAGATGCCTATGGCCTTGGTGTCTGCCCATCTCAGTTGCCCTTTGATCCTCTTGTGCCTCCAGGAGCTGGGTGGGGAGGAGCCAGAACCAAGCTTAAGAGAGGGGCCTGGTGGCCTGGTGATGGAAGGACATCTCTTCAAACGGGCCAGCAACGCATTTAAGACCTGGAGCAGGTGAGGAGAGGACACCCCCAATCAGCCCGCCCCACCCAATGATGTATTTTCGAGTGGTAATAGCACACTAAGCACTGCAAGGAAAAACAGACGAACCCCCCTGCCTCAGTAGAGTTTCATTCCATCAGCAAAGACAGAGGATAAACCTAGTATGTAAATTACGTGCTATGTTAGAAGGTGATAGTGCTTGCTATAGGAGAAAGATGATAAAGCAAGGGATGTGGGGAGCTGGGTAGGGGTTACAGTTCTAAATAGTTGGGCAGTGTGGGCTTCATGAGAAGGTAACTTTTGAACAAAGACTTGAAGGATATCTGGGGGAAGAAAGTTCTAGACAGAAGAAAGAGCCAGTGCCAAGGCCCTGAGATAGCTGGGGAGTTGGAAGAGCAGGGTGGTGGCCCTGGGTCTGGACAGAGTGAGGGAGGAGGATGTGCAGGAGATGAAATCGGAGCTAATGGGGGCATGAGTCATTATAGGGCCCTATAGATTTTTGTAGGGATTTGGGGTCTACTCTGAGAGCAATTGGGAGCCGCTATAGGGTTTGGAACAGGATGGTGGCATGCTGTGACTTGACTCCTTTCCCTTCTAGGGCCACTGCTAGCCCACATGGGATCTCTGTACAAATTAGAAAATGGAGCTGCTTCCCCAAGATACTCTTTTTTCTTTTTCTTTTCTTTTTTTTTTTCTGTTTTTTTTGAGATGGGGTGTCACTCTGTTGCCCAGCCTGCAGTGCAGTGGCGCAGTCTCGGCTCACTGCAACCTCTATCCCCTGAGTTCAAGTGATCCTCCCTCCTCAGCATCCTAAATAGCTGGGACCACAGGCGTGTGCCATCACGCTCGGCTAATTTTTGTATTTTTGGTAGAAACAGGGTTTCACCATGTTGCCCAGGCTGGTTGCAAACTCCTGACATCAAGCAATCCACCCGCCTCGGCCTCCCAACTTGCTGGGATTACAGGCGTGAGCCACTGTACCTGGCCCCCAAGATTCTTTCTTTTCTTTTTTTCTTTTTCTTTTTTTTTCTTTTTTGATGGAGCCTCGCTATGTTGCGCAGGCTGCAGCACAGTGGTGCGATCTCAGCTCACTGCAACCTCAGCTTCCTGGGTTCAAGCGATTCTCCTGCCTCAGCCTCCCAAGTAGGTGGGATTATAGCCGCCTGCCACCACGCCTGGCTAATTTTTGTATTTTTAGTAGAGACGGAGTTTCACCATATTGGTCAGGGTGGTCTCAAACTCCTGACCTCGGGTGATCCACCACCCCCATCAGCCTCCCAAAGTGCTGGGATTACAGGTGTGAGCCCAGCCTAAATAGTATTTTTTAAATTGTAGCAATAGACATTTTATTAGAAAAAGAATTTTACTGCCATCTGCTGGAAAGTTGTCTTCATAACTATATGAAATCTGGGTTGTCCAAGATAGGAATAGCATCCTTTAGATGTTCCAATCTGCACAATTGTCCACCCTTCTCTGGAATGTCTCGTGGAACAGTCAGCCCAGGTGTCTGTCCTCTCAGTAAGATCCTCATGGGCAAAAAGCACAGCCTCTCTTCCGTCCCTCATCCTAAAGCTGCCTATGTCTGTAATGATTTCCTTCTCTTACAGACGCTGGTTCACCATTCAGAGCAACCAACTGGTTTACCAGAAGAAGTACAAGGTGAGTGGACCTGGGTCCTGGATGCCTGGGCCCCAGGGAGACTCAGCTCTTGCCTGCAGCTGGACATCTGGCCCCTTATCACCTTATCCTGCCAGGACCCTGTGACTGTGGTGGTGGATGACCTTCGTCTCTGCACAGTGAAACTCTGCCCTGACTCAGAAAGGCGGTTCTGCTTTGAGGTGGTGTCCACCAGCAAGTGAGTGCAATCCCCAGGGGTGATACTCTAATATATCTAAACAACTGCCAATCTGAAAGGCAGGGCCCACCACAATGGAGGCCCCCCATGCAGCTCCAGACTTTAATTTAATTCTTTGGCGGCTGGACTGGGGGGCCATTGTGGAAGAGGGTACAGGGTGATGGGGGATATTTAGGAGAATATTACCAACTGGTACAGAAGTCTTTCAATGCAACTGGAACTGGTTGAATACTGGCTGAATGTCAGTCTGCCCATGCTGCCACTTTGCTTCCCAGGCCTCAGACCCCTCTGCCATCTCCCTCACCCTCCTACCTAGGTCCTGCCTCCTCCAGGCTGACTCAGAGCGCCTCCTGCAGCTGTGGGTCAGTGCTGTGCAGAGCAGCATTGCTTCTGCCTTCAGTCAGGCTCGCCTTGATGACAGCCCCCGGGGTCCAGGCCAGGTACCTTAACCTGGGGGTGCGGAGCCAGGCTGCCTGTGGAGATGGGGCACCCTTTACCCTAGGCCCCTTGGCCACCCTTTCTTCCCCTCTCTCCCCCAGGGCTCAGGACACCTGGCCATAGGCTCTGCTGCCACCCTGGGCTCTGGTGGAATGGCCAGGGGAAGGGAGCCTGGGGGAGTCGGGCACGTGGTGGCCCAGGTCCAGAGTGTGGATGGCAATGCCCAGTGCTGCGACTGCCGGGAGCCAGCCCCGGAGTGGGCCAGCATCAACCTTGGTGTCACCCTCTGCATTCAGTGTTCCGGCATCCACAGGTTACTCCACAAGGCCCATGCGGGAGCCCCACTCCTTCGGGCCACAGTGCGGCTCCAATACAGAGCGCATCACACCGGCCCCTCTTCCTTCCCTGTCCTGGCTTCCTCTCTTAGCTTCTGGCTTTGTCACTGGGTACCAGGCCTGGGCCCAAGCCTCTGGGGTGCCAGTTGGACCCAGGCGGGCCTAGCCCCTCTGTGTCCTAGTCTGGCCAGAATTGGGGGATACCCAGAATTTGTTGGCTTGGTTGGAAGAAGTGTGGGGTCAAGGCTGCTGAGGGTGGGGGAGCCAGTGAAGACTAGGCAGAGAAACGGTCATGAGGCCTTAGCAAGTATCTAAGGCCCTCGCCCCCCACCTCAGTGTGGTGGAAGGGAGGTGACATGGGAGAGGTTGTCCAGGCCAAAGTGTCACAAGTGTCACTAGAGAAGGGAGGTGGCTGGAGTGATGAGGGCCTTGAAATGAAACCTAAGGAAGAAGGAATGGTGACGAGGCAGAGTCCTGCCAGGGCCAGGTCAAGGCTACATGGCGGTTACATGGCCGCAGCTGCCCTGCCTCCTGGGCCAGCACCTCTGCACGGGCCCCCATGCCAGCCTTGCCTCCCAGTGTCTTCAGGAGCAGCAGCAGCTCCCCAGGCCACTGCCCCCCTGCACAGGGCCTGACCCTCCCCCTCTGGCCCTCCAGGAGCCTTGGTGTTCACTTCTCCAAAGTCCGGTCTCTGACCCTTGACTCATGGGAGCCAGAACTAGTGAAGGTAACTTAGCGTATTGTGAAGATTGGGGGCAAGAACTTGGGGTGGGGCAAGGACATGGCGGTGCAGGGGCGTGATCCCTGAGGAGTCACTCACCCCCACCTTCCCTGTCTCTGCCTCTGCCTGGGCCTCCTGAAGCTCATGTGTGAGCTGGGAAATGTCATCATCAACCAGATCTATGAGGCCCGCGTGGAGGCCATGGCAGTGAAGAAACCAGGGCCCAGCTGCTCCCGGTGAGCTTGGGGTTTAGCCTCCCAGGGGAATGGGGGACCCCTGGAGCAGAAGAGGGAAGACTGCGTGCTTCTCCCCTCCCACAGGCAGGAGAAGGAGGCCTGGATTCACGCTAAATACGTGGAGAAGAAGTTCCTGACCAAGCTGCCTGAGATTCGAGGGCGAAGAGGTGGCCGGGGGCGCCCAAGGGGGCAGCCTCCTGTGCCCCCAAAGCCTTCCATCAGGCCCCGGCCAGGGAGCTTGAGATCCAAGCCAGGTATAGGGTTGGTTGGGCATTCATTGAGCATCTGCTGTGTGCTCGGCATCGTGCCAGGTAGCGCCGGGAGGCACAGAGTGTGAAGCCCAGGCCTTCCGCTGGACAATGTCGGAGGGACCGGACTGCCGTTTCAGGGGTTACGGTGGAGTGTGACATTAAGAATGAGAAGGAATGTGGGGCTGGGCGTGGGCAGGGAGGGTAAGGGGTGCCAACAGCACAAGAAAAGGAGAGAGAGAGGGGGTGGGTTTGGCTGGAGCGTCAGGGGTTGAGAGCTGAGGCCAAGTGTGGTTGGACCAGATGAGGTGATGATGCCGTCTCTCCCCCACACCCTAGGGACTCGTACACATGCATACGCATACTTACACATACCCACACTTGCATCACTCTATTCCCTCCACAGTCCCAAGCTCCCCATCATTTAGAAGAGACCTGTCCCATTATAGCATTGGGACACTGCTGAGGGTTTTCTTCCCAGACTCGGAGCTGCTTCCCCCTAACAGAACCAAATCCCCCGAACAGAGCCCCCCTCTGAGGACCTGGGAAGCCTGCACCCTGGGGCCCTACTGTTTCGAGCGTCTGGGCATCCTCCATCTCTTCCCACCATGGCTGATGCCCTTGCCCATGGAGCTGATGTCAACTGGGTCAATGGGGGCCAAGATAATGCCACACCGCTGATCCAGGCCACAGCTGCTGTAAGAGCCCTGCTGACCTCTCCACCCCACCCTAGGGCTCTGACACCTACTCCTGACTCTGGGCCCTGCCCTTACCTCCTTTCCCCACCACCTGTTCCCTAGGGCTTCCACCCATAGGGAGAGATCAACAATAGAGACTGGTTGCTAAGAGTGTGTGATTTGGAGGCAGAGAACCTGAGTTTGAACCCAGGCTCTCACCTCTTACAGGAGACTTTTTTTTTTTTTTTTGAGACAGTCTCGCTCTGTCCCCCAGGCTGGAGTGCAATGGTGCGATCTCGGCTCACTGCAAGCTCCGCCTCCCGGGTTCACACCATTCTCCTGCCTCAGCTGCCTGAGTAGCTGGGACTACAGGCGCCAGCCAGCATGCCCGGCTAATTTTTTGTATTGTTAGTAGAGATAGGGTTTCACCGTGTTAGCCAGGATGGTCTGGATCTCCTGACCTTGTGATCCACCCGCCTCGGCCTCCCAAAGTGCTGGGATTACTGGCGTGAGCCACTGTGCCCGGCCTACAGGAGACTTTTAACAAGTTATTAACCTCTCAGCCTCATCTGTAAAATAGTAACATACCTCAAAAGCTTGTACTATGGATTTATATATGAATACATGCAAAGAGCTAGAGCCAAGCCTAGCTTGGTTACAGTTAGCTGTAACCCCTTCCACACTCCTGATTACCACACTCCACCCTCCCATTCTCTGAACTGGCGCCACCCTAAGACATCTTGAAATCCACCACTAGGGATGCCACCCTCAACCCCCCTTCTCGACTTCTCCATGCAGAATTCTCTTCTGGCCTGTGAGTTTCTCCTCCAGAACGGGGCGAACGTGAACCAAGCGGACAGTGCGGGCCGGGGCCCGCTGCACCACGCAACCATTCTTGGCCACACGGGGTAGGGATGATGGCATGGGGAGGAAGGCTGGGAGAAGTTGGGCGGCCGGCTGACCCTGGCTCTTCTCTCCAGGCTCGCCTGCCTGTTCCTGAAACGGGGAGCTGATCTGGGGGCTCGAGACTCTGAAGGCAGGGACCCTCTGACCATCGCCATGGAAACAGCCAACGCTGACATCGTCACCCTGTAAGAATGCCTGAAGGGGCGGGGCTGGCGCTGGGACTCCCCCCACCCCCGCCCACCCACGTTCGGGCGGGCGGGCGGGGCTGACGCCGAAACAGAAGCCTGTGCTGTGGGGCCTCGGAAAGGGGCTGGGCCAGCGCCGGGGCCAGGCTCGAGAAAGGCTGCGCGAAGTGTGCACTGGGACGTGGAGTAGAAGGCAGGCGGGAGGGCGGGCAGGGTGCAAGGATGCTTGGCCCACCCTGAGAGGCGTAATTCGCCCATCAACATTGCTGTCAGGCATCTTTTTAGCACTAGACGTGACCCCGGGGGTGGGGGCAGATGAACGGAACGCAACCCAGCTCAAAGGATGGGAAGTTGTGGGGGAGGTGAGGATAGTCTTTTTTTTTTTTTTTGAGACGGAGTCTCACTCTGTCGCCCAGGCTAGAGTGCAGGGGCGCGATCTCGGCTCACTGCAACCCCCGCCTCCCGGGTTCAAGCGATTCTCCTGTCTCAGCCTCCCCTGAGTAGCTGGGACTACAGGCGTGCGCCACCACCCCCGGCTAATTTTTTGTATTTTTAGTAGAGACGGGGTTTCACCATGTTGGCCAGGACGGTCTCGATCTCCTGACCTCGTGATCCGCCTGCCTCGGCCTCCCAAAGTGTTGGGATTACAGGCGTGAGCCACCGCGCCCGGCCAAAGATAGTGTCGTTCATTTCTTAATTCCCTCCTCTTCAGGCTACGACTGGCAAAGATGAGGGAGGCTGAAGCGGCCCAGGGGCAGGCAGGTAAAGAATACACCCACCCCACCCCCCAGGCCCAACACCTGAACTCTGGGCTTCTGGTCCACGGTGACCTCTCTCCCTAGTGCCCAGCTGCATTCATTCCGTTATTTAACAAATGCGTATTGGGCGCATGCGACGTGCCAGGCCCTGGCAAGGCATAGGTGCTGGCGCAGTGCCCGCGGCGCGCACGTTCCCACCCAGGCTCGGAGCGCGAGGTCCCCAGGTGGGCCCCAACCGCCGGATCCTGCCCTTCTGCACTGGGGCCCAGCCGCCTCCCGGCCTTTCCTCCCTCCCCCAGGAGATGAGACGTATCTTGACATCTTCCGCGACTTCTCCCTCATGGCGTCAGACGACCCGGAGAAGCTGAGCCGTCGCAGTCATGACCTCCACACGCTGTGACCCGAGGCCCACGGGGCCCGCGCCTGCCTCCCTTCCCCGCCACCGGGCCCTCTGCCATTAAAGCCTCCGTGCTTCGCTCTTCCCTTCTGGTTCACTTCTTGGGCGCCACCTTCGGGCCCGTAGGGTGTTGGGCGCTGCGGCTCCCGAGGTGCGGGGAGCAGCTGGGGGTTTGCGAGCTCCAGTCCAGCAAGGTGCGACTCCGGGGAGCGAGGCGGCAGCTTCGGCCGCGGCCTGAGCGCAGGGCGCTGCGGGGCGGGGGCTCTCGGGCTGGGGCGACGTGGCCAGCCCAGTCCTGCCGAGGGGTGGGGCTGGCCCTGGGGCTCGCTGGCCCCGCGCCGCCGCGGAGAGAGCGCGCCCGGGCCACCCCGGCTGGAAGGCATCCCCGGAATGCGGCGGCTCAGCACCCGCCCCCTCGGGAATTCCCCGGGGGAGCCGCTGGGAGGGACTCGGCTCCCGGGCTGGGCCGGCCGGGCCTCGGGCTCTGAGCGGTGGGATTAGAGGCTCCAGCCCCGCCGACTTGCAGACGTGAGATCGGGCACACCTGAGCGGCGGCGGGGCGGTCGTGGCCACATCCGGGGCGACGTGCCTGAGTCACCCCGTCCCGCCAGCGTCTGCCAGTCCAGCCAGTCCGCCCAGTCTCTCGCGTCCGAGACTCGCCTCCAGCCTCCCACCTCCGCCCGGGCCGCGCGAGCCTCGCGGGGGCGGGGGCGGGGCGCCAAGGGGCGGGGCTGTCTCTTAAAGGGCCCCGGGCCGCTGCCCTTAGGCCACTTCCTGGGGGCGGAGAGGACCTCAGCGGCTGCGGCGACACCCAGGGAAGGCGGCGCGGCCGGGTCCCGAAACTCCTGGCTGTTTCCATCAGAGCCCTCGGACACTCCCAGCCCGGGCTGAGCACGCATCGTCGCTCCCCGGCGGATACAAGGGGGCTCCGCCATCCGCTCCCGTCAGTTCGGCCTCCATCTCCTGGGACCCGCGCCGGCAGCCAGGCCAGGCCTCTGAGTGGCCCCAGAGCCCTGGCTGGACTCGTCCACGGCGGCAGCGATCTGCCCGGGGTCTCGGAGGCCATCCCTTCAGAGTCGGCCCTGTGCTCGCCACCGTCACCTGCTGGTTGGATTCCGGAAACCCACTGTCTGAAGACCACAGAGGGGTGTCGCTGACCACCCCAAATCGGATACGTCCAGACCTCAAGCTCCCTTCCCCTCTCTGGCTGCCCTCTGCTCTTTTCATCTCTTCTCTCAACCTTTTGGGGATTTCTGTGTCCTGACACCACCTCCCCATCCACCACCAAAGTAGCCGGGGTGAGCCCCAAACCTTACTGGGTGTGCTCCACCTGTGCCTCCAACCCAGCGAATCTGACAGCTTCGACCCAATTCTGCACACACCCAGGAAGTTCTGCCTTTTCTTTTCTTTCGGTGTCTCCTGTACTTCCCAAAATTTCTCCTCCTCCTGTGCCCTCTTCGCCCCCCTCCTTTGGGGGCCCCGTGACCCTGAATGTGGGGGGCACACTATATTCCACCACTTTGGAGACCCTGACCCGCTTCCCAGACTCTATGCTGGGGGCCATGTTTAGGGCCGGCACCCCCATGCCCCCCAACCTCAATTCCCAAGGAGGCGGCCACTACTTCATCGACCGGGATGGCAAGGCCTTCCGGCACATCCTCAATTTCCTGAGGCTGGGCCGCCTGGACCTGCCCCGTGGGTACGGAGAGACAGCGCTGCTCAGGGCAGAGGCTGACTTCTACCAGATCCGGCCCCTCCTGGACGCGCTGCGGGAACTGGAGGCCTCTCAGGGGACCCCTGCACCCACAGCTGCCCTGCTCCACGCAGATGTAGATGTCAGCCCCCGCCTGGTGCACTTCTCTGCTCGCCGGGGACCCCATCACTATGAGCTGAGCTCCGTCCAGGTGGACACCTTCCGAGCCAACCTTTTCTGCACCGACTCTGAGTGTCTAGGTGCTTTGCGGGCCCGATTTGGTGTGGCCAGTGGGGATAGGGCAGAGGGGAGCCCACATTTTCATCTGGAGTGGGCCCCCCGCCCCGTGGAACTCCCCGAGGTGGAGTATGGGAGACTGGGGCTGCAGCCGCTGTGGACTGGGGGGCCAGGAGAGCGGCGGGAGGTGGTGGGCACCCCAAGCTTCCTGGAGGAGGTGCTGCGGGTGGCTCTCGAGCACGGCTTCCGACTAGACTCTGTCTTCCCCGACCCCGAAGACCTGCTCAACTCCAGGTCTCTGCGCTTTGTCCGGCACTGAGGATGCTGTTCTCAGTTTGACTGTGGGGAGGAGAGAGAATGGGGTACTAGCACCCCTGAAGCCTCTTTCCAGCTCTGCTTCAGGAGCTATGAGAGTCGGGACTCTCCTGCACCTGACTGGAGCTCAGATGTGGGCAGGAATTCCCAAACCTGAGCCCACCAAGGACTCACAAGTGGTCCAGAAGGTCTCAACCTGTGCTGACCCTGGGAGGGGTAGGGAAGGTTCTCTCAGCTTGTTCTTGCCTAAGGCTGAGCACCTCCAGTCTCTCCTTGATTTGGAGCTCAGTGTTTAAGGGCTTGGAAAAGGGGGGAACATCTCTTTACCCAGACTAGACCTAGCAAAACCCTGGAAGGATATTGAGGTCTGGGGAAAAGGGAGGACTTTGCATTTTCCCAATGCGGTCTCTTGGACCATGGCTTCTACTCCTGAAGCTGGGTGGCCTGGCCTGGCCTGACCAATGAGAGGCCAGAACACTCTGGAACATCGGAAGAGGAGTTCTTTGCTATGTTCCAAGCCATCTACTGAGGGAGGCAGAAAGGCCACAACCCACCCTAGGTTGATGTATGGGAGCTAGGACAGTCCCCATGGCAATGGGGCTGGAGCATCCCTCATCTGGAAGAATCCCATACTGATGGCAGGGCTGGCCAGGGGGAAGAGGGTAGTATCTGTGGGTCCTGGCCTTTCTTCATGTGTGCGTGCATATCAGCCCGTGTGGCTGACTGATGTATAGGTCCCTGGCATCCTGGTTCATATCTGTGTTGCTGACTACAGTGTCTGTGATGTCCGCATGTCCAGGCCTGTTTGGGGTTGCCTAGCGACTCTTCTGGCACAGGGTGTGTCTGTGGTATACCTGTGAGGTGGTTGACAATTAGTAGTTTAATCACAGGGTGTGTGTGTGTGTGTGTGTGTGTGTGTTTATGTGCACGCATGTATATGCATCACCACGTAGCCAGGAGGGGCCTGTTGGGGTTTGAGTCACTGGGATCTTCCTGGTGAGAGGTAAGAGAAGTCACTGGGCTTAGCTGGGCCTCTGAGGCCTGTATGGAACTCTTGGTTGCTGAGGCAACCATGGACCTGTTGCTAGGAGATAGCTGGGGAAGGCCCAAGGCCGCCCAGGGCAGAGAGAGGAGACGAAGAGTTTGGGACAGTGGGGGAGGAGATGGGAAGGGATGGGATTTCTGGGTCCCAGAGCGGGTGGGATACTCACGCACAGCTTCTTCACTGGTGGGGGGTGGGGCACACATTATTTCTCACTGGTCATGATTTACAAGAAGAAAAATAAAACTGCTTTTGGAACCACAAACTTGTGAAGGCTGTTGAGGGCCAGGTTGGGGGTGCTGTCCCCTCACAACAGAAGCCCTGCTTTCTCTGCCCATCGCCTGCTGGAGATGCCTTCTGGACCCCAGTTCCTTGAGCCCCAGCTTTACCCCAGCTGAGGATGGGCAGTGCCATTGTTCATTGTTCTGGAACATTCTAGAACCTCCAGGCAAGGGCTGGAGCCAGGGCTGCAGAGCATTCCTCGGCTCAGCTGGGGCAGCGCCGCCCCATCCCCCAGTGGTCCTCATGTGGAGGCTGGCACTAGGCGGGGTTTTCCTGGCAGCCGCCCAGGCTTGTGTCTTCTGTCGCCTCCCAGCCCACGACTTGTCAGGCCGCCTGGCTCGGCTCTGCAGCCAGATGGAGGCCAGGCAGAAGGAATGTGGGGCCTCCCCAGACTTCTCGGCCTTTGCCTTAGGTAGGACCAGACATCCAGGGATGGGCCCAGCAAGCACTCACCCCCCTACCCCCAGAGGGTGGCATGTGACCTTCCAGCTGTGCCCTCCATCTGTGGCCCTTTCTGGACATGCTGGCCTTTCCCTCTGAGAGAGCTCCATATCTGGGAAAGTCAGGAGAGACCCCAGAACCTGGGCTGATGAGGGAATCGCTGGTCCTTGCCCATCTCCACAGATGAGGTGTCCATGAACAAAGTCACAGAGAAGACTCACAGAGTCCTGAGGGTCATGGGTGAGGTCAAGGGGAAAGAGTGACCTAGGGGCTTGGGAGGATACCAAGGAGAGGGACGGGTGACAGGGGTTGGGGTGGGCAGGGAAGGGTGGAGGGGTAGAGACAGGAGGGCTGATCAGGGAGGGGCTGCGTGAAGAGAGGGGGAACTGGCCCCGTCGAGGCCCAGGGAAACGGAGCTGCTGTCTGCCTCCCCAGAAATCAAAGAGGCTGTCTCCTCACTCCCTTCATATTGGAGTTGGCTTCGAAAGACCAAGCTCCCTGAGTACACCAGGGAAGGTACCGATGCGGGATGGGCCTCAAGGGGAGCCTAGGGTCTTAACCAAAGGAATGTGTGGTGAGCAGCTCATCCATTCACACCCCCACCCCTTCCTTGTCTTTCATTTCAGCTCTCTGTCCCCCCGCCTGCCGTGAGTAGGAAAGGAAAGGGGTAGCAAGGACCTGGGGCCTGCAGGGTGTCAGAGGAGGGCCTGGCAGCTGCAGGAGGAAGCTGGGTACCAGGCAGGGTGGAGGCCCGGCCTCCCCTCCCCAGCGTTGCCTCTGCTGTCTCCTGCAGGGGGCAGCACCACGCTGTACAACTGCTCCACCTGCAAGGGGACGGAGGTGTCCTGCTGGCCCCGAAAGCGCTGCTTCCCAGGTCCTCACGCCCATCTTGGCCCCGCCCCACCTTGCCCAGATCCCTGAGCCCTTGGGCTCCCAAGTCGGTGCGTGTGGGTCCCAGAATCATTCACTGCCTCCTGGGTTCCCTGCAGGAAGTCAGGATCTTTGGGAAGCCAAGATTCTGCTCCTCTCCATCTTCGGAGCTTTCCTGCTTCTGGGTGTTCTGAGCCTCCTGGTGGAGTGAGTTTTGGGATAAAGACAGGAATCCTACCCCGCCCAGTGCCTTCCACCACCCATCCTCCCTCCCTCTGTCCCTCCCAGGCCCCTCCCGTAGGCTTCCCACCCTCGTCTTCCCTCAGGTCCCACCACCTCCAAGCAAAAAGTGGCTTGTGAAGACGCTGAAAACCTCCCAGCCTCCAGCTCTAAGGGGTATGCACTCACAACTTCCACATCCCTTGGAGGGGAACCAGTCAGCCCCTTAGTCCCAGCTCCAAAGACAGTCTCCAGACCCTAAAACCCAGACATCCCTGCTTCTGGTTGGTGAGATAATGAAAAACAAGAAAATCCCCAAAAACCCAGATCCCCCACAATCCCAGTGTCAGATGGCCTCCCGGGAACCCAGGCACCCACAGCTGGAAAGTTCCTCCCCTCCAGCCCTCAACCAATCACATGGCTGTCAACAATGCCAGGAAAATATCTACAGAAGGAAAGAATCCCCTACGCCACTCCCACCACACCCACACCCCCTTCTGCCTGTTCCGGGAAAGCGGGGGCATCTGCCCCAGAAGCTATTCCAGGCCCTCCTATGACTGATGGGGAATCCGGGAATGCATGTTCTGGAAAACTCACCCCACTAGAGTGAGATCACATCAGTGGGTTCGCGGGCATGCCCTCCCTCCATCGTGTTAACAGTTTGAAATCCTGGCCTCCCTCAGAGGCCTCCATCCTGCCAGGCCTAAGTAAAACTTGCTGTTCATGGCCTCTGCCCCTGCCTAGCCTCTGTCTGCAACTGGGGAGGGCAGAGGAAGGATGGGAGACTCTCAGAGTAGCACAGTGCTTCTCAGATGGGGGTGATTTTGCACCCCAGTAGACATTTTGCAACATCTGGAGTCGTTTTGGATTGTTTTAACTGGGGGGACGTGCTACTGGCCTCTGGTGGGTAGAGGCTAGAGATGTTGCTAAACATCCCACAACACACAGGAAAGTCCCCACAGCAAAGAATTATCCCGTCCAAAATGTCAGTGTTTACCAGGAAAGGGAGATAGGAGAAAAAAAAAAAGAAAAGAAGAAAAAGAAGAAGGAGGAGGAGGAGAAGAAGAAGAAGAAGAAGAAGAAGAAGAAGAAGAAGAAGAAGAGGAAGAAGAAGAAGAAAGAAAGAAAAGAAAGAAACAAAATGTCAGAGCATGGTTGAGAAACCCTGGTGTTTTGTCCCCTGCCTATCAGGAGTTTTTGGTTTGGGAATGGAACGTGGGACATGGAACATGAGAAGAGAGGCCTGTTGCCAACCACAAGGCACAGTCTGAGTGCCTAGGCCTGGCAGGGATTCCAGCCCTTACCTAGCCCAGGGGTTTTCAAACTGGGTACCTCGAGGCTCCAGGGTAAGCGTTCTCAGCCAGCTGCATATCAGAACCACCTGGGCAGCCTTAAAACTAGCTGTGCTTTGGCCCCAGCTCCAGAGATTCTGGAATAAGTGGTCCTATATGGGGCCTTGGTTACTGTAACCCACAGCCAGGGTTAGAATCATTGTTTGGGGTACCCAGAGAGGTCCTAAGGATGGGTAGAAGAACTCCTACCCCTTCCACGGTAGTACCTCTCTCTCTCTCTCTTTTTTTTTTTTTTTTTTTTGAGACGGAGTTTCGCTCTTGTTGCCCAGGCTGGAGTGCAATGGCGCGATCTTGGTTCACTGCCACCTCCACCTCCCGGGTTCAAAAGATTCTCCTGCCTCAGCCTCCCAAGTAGCTGGGATTACAGGCACCCGCTACCACGCCTGGCTAATTTTTGTATTTTTAGTAGAGATGGGGTTTCACTATGTTGGCCAGGCTGGTGGCGAACTCCTGACCTCATGTGATCCACCCACCTCAGCCTCCTAAAGTGCTGGAATTAAGGTGTGAGCCACTGCACCCAACCGTACCTCGCCCTTTTTTTTCAATATATATATTTTAAAAATTTAAAAATTATTATTATTATTTTGAGACAGAGTCTCATTCTGTTGCCCAGGCTGGAGTGCAGTGGCATGATCTCAGCTCACTGCAAACTCTGCCTCCTGGGTTCAAGTAATTCTCCTGCCTCAGCCTCCTGAGTAGCTGGGATTACGGGTGCCTGCCACCATGCCTGGCTAATTTTTGTATTTTAGTAGAGATGGGGTTTCCCTATGTTGGCCAGGTTGGTCTCAAACTCCTGACCTCAGGTGATCTGCCTGCCTCGGCCTCCCAAAGTGCTGGGATTACAGGCATGAGCCACCACACCCAGCCGATTTTTAAAATTAAAAAAATATATATATATATTAAGAGACAAGGTTTCACTATGTTGACCAGGCTGGTCTCAAACTCCTGGCCTCAAGCAGTCCTCTTGCCTCAGTCTTCTAAGTTGTTGGGATTACAGACATGAGCCACTGCATTCAGCCAAGTATCTCTCTTTTTGTTTTACACATTCAATTCCAATCCCTTCATATAACACATGAAAAAAATGAGACCCAGAGATCATGTAAGATCATATAACTTGTCCAAGATCATACAACTCATTCATTCATTCATTTGACAAAGACTTAGTGAGTATCCACCCACCAAGAGGGATGGGAAGCCACATTTCCTGCCTGCTCTGGACGGCAGTAGGTGCCCGTACCCTCCCCTGCTGTCCCCTCTTTCCAGGTTCAACATTTTGGAGCCATCCTTGTTTTCACAGTCAATATTCAGGAGGCCAACCAGTCCTGCCCATTTCTTTCTTCCTTCCTTCCTTCCTCCCTCCCTCCCTTTCTTTCTTTCTTCCTTCCTTTCTTTCTTTCTATTTTTTTTTTTTTTGAGACAGAGTCTCGCTGCGATGCCCAGGCCGGACTTCTGTGGCGCGATCTTGGCTCACTGCAACCTCCACCTTCCAGGTTCAAGCAGTTCTCCTGCCTCAGCCTCCCAAGTAGCTGGGATTACAGGCAACGCCATCATGCCTGGCTAATTTTTTTAGTACTTTTAGTAGAGACGGGGTTTCACCATGTTGGCCAGGCTGGTCAGGAACTCCTGACCTCGAGTGATCCGCCCGCCTCGGCCTCCCAAAGTGCTGAGCCACCATGCCCGGCCAGTCCTGCCTATTTTTCAAGGATCTCTATCCTGTCTGTCCCATCCTTCCATAGCCCCAGCCCACCCAGAACCCTCTCACAGTGGATCCCAGTCTCCCAGAGGCGCCACCAGGCTGCCTGCTCTCCTGGAATGCTCTTCACCCTCAGCGGCCGCGCTGGCCTCCCTGAAAACTCCACACTGCTCACGACCCCCAGCCCCACATCAAATGATGATTAAGAATTTGGGCTTTGGAGTTGGGCTGCCTGGTTTCAATCAAATCCTGGCTTTGTCTCTTACTGGACCGTGGGCAAGTTATTTAACCTCTCTGTGCCTGTTTTCTCTATTTTATTTATTTATTTATTTATTTATTTATTTATTTATTTATTTATTTATTGAGATGGAGTCTCGCTCTGTCGCCCAGTCTGGAGTGCAGTGGCGCGATCTCCACTCACTGCAACCTCTGCCTCCCTAGTTAAAGCGATTCTCCTGCCTCAGCCTCCCAAGTAGCTGGGACTACAGGCTCCCAGCACCACGCCGGGCTAATTTTTTATATTTTTAGTAGAGACGGGTTTTCACCGTGTTAGCCAGCATGGTCTCGAACTCCTGACCTCAGGCGATCCGCCCGCCTCGGCCTCCCAAAGTGCTGGGATTACAGGTGTGAGCCACCACACCTCGCCTCCTCATCTTTTAAATGCAGTAAATGTATTTTATTGACTCTATATAACGTTTTTAATCTGTTTACATTTGAACATCTCTGAAGTCAGAATGCATCTTAAACTGAAGGTATGCCATGGCTTAGTGGATAGTATTTTTTTCTTAGCAGTATATAACATAATGGTATATCAGCAGGGCACGGTGGCTCACACCTGTAAAACCGGCACTTTGGGAGGCTGAGGTGGGTGGATTGCTTGAGGTCAGGAGTTCAAGACCAGCCTGAAAAACATGGTGAAACTCCATCTCTACTAAAAATACAAAAATTAGCCAGGAGTGGTAGCAGGTGCCTGTAATCCTAGCTACTCAGGAGGCTGAGGCAGAGGAATCACTTGAACCCGAGAGGCAGAGGTTGCAGTGAGCTGAGATCACGCCACTGTACTCCAGCCTGGGCAGTAGAGCAAGATTCCATTTCAAAAAAATAATAATAAAAAATTTAAATATTAAAAAATAAAATAATAGTATATATTACAATTGATATATTAAAATTCGTGATAAATTCAATGAAATGCAGTAGTAGTTACCTTATGGGATTGCTGTGAAGTCTAAATAAGCTAATATAAAATGCTTGAGGCCAAGCACAGTGGCTTACACCTGTAATCCCAGCATGTTGGGAGGCCGAGGCAGGAGGATCGCTTGAGCCCAGGGGTTTGAGACCAGCCTAGGCAACATAGTGAGACCCCCATCTCTACAAAAAAAAATTTAAATTAGCTGGGTGTGTCAGCCGGGCGAGTGGCTCACGCCTGTAATCTCAGCACTTTGGGAGGCCAAGGCGGGTGAATCACGAAGTCGGGAGTTCGAGACCAGCCTGACCCACATGGTGAAACCCCGTCTCTACTAACAATACAAAAATTAACTGGGCATGGTGGCACATGCCTGTAATCCCAGCTACTTGGGAGGCTGAGGCAGGAGAATTGCTTGAACCCAAGAGGCGGAGGTTGCAGCAAGCCGAGATCGCGCCACTGCACTCCTGCCTGGGGGATGAGCAAGACTTCGTCTCAAAAAAAAAAAAAAAAAAAAAATTAGCTGGGTGTGATGGCGCATGCCTGTGGTCCCAGCTACTCAGGAGGCTGAGGTGAGAAGATCGCTTGAACCCAGGAGGTCAAAGCTGAAGTGAGCTGACATCACACCACTGCACTCCAGCTTGGGTGACAGAGTGAGACCCTGTCTTAAAAAAAAAAAAAAGAAAGAAACACAAACTCCTCCAACCTCTCATGCCACATGCTCAGGAAGAGCTTACTAGAGGAATTTATATCACAAGGGTTCAGAGAAGGGGCTGGGGTTGTCAAGGACATACCCTGGAGTCTGCCATGTGCCAAACACTGTGGAAACAAAGATAAAAAACCACTAGGTGGGTAGGCACGGTGGCTCATGCCTGTAATCCCAGACTTTGGGAGGCCAGGGTGGTTGGATCACCTGAGGTCAGGAGTTCGAGACCAGCCTGGCCAACATGGTGAAACCACATCTCTACTAAAAATACAAAAATTAGCCAGGTGTGGTGGCAGGTGCCTGTAATCCTAGCTACTCTGGAGGCTGAGGCAGTAGAATCGATTGAACCCAGGAGTAGGAGGTTGCAGTGAGCCAAGATTATGCCACTGCACTCCAGCCTGGGTGATGGAGCGAGACTCGGTCTCGAAAACAAACAAACAAACAAACAAAAAACCTGTTAGCTGGTGGTTTAATAGGGCAGGGCATGGTTTGGAGGGAAGATGGATTGGTAAAGAAACACCACCACCTTGATGTGACACAGCTGAGGGATGTCTAGAGAAGGGACACCCCCAGGGGCTCAGAGAAGGATTCTCAGAAGAGGTTGTGCCTGAGCCAAAGGAGAAAGACATCCCAGGTATAAGGACAAGCCTGGGCAATGACAGATGAAAAAGCAGGAGGTGTTTGGGCAGCTACAGGTGATTCAGTATGGCCGTGGGGGGTGCGTTGGGTGGGCAGTGCTGAGAGATAAAGCCGCAGGGACATGTGGGGGCCAGATTCCAGGAAGTATTACACAGGTAGATCACTTGCTTACTGATGAGAAGTGGGCATGTGGGCATGGCAGGAAGAGAAGAAGGAAGAGAATGTCCAGGGTACAGTTGGCGCTGCCACGAAGCTCCAGAGAGGTCACAGAGAAGTGATGGGCTCAGGGAGGAAGGTGAGCTTGAACATATGGAATCTGAGATGCCCGGGCAGGGGCATTCAAGTGGAGATTCCAGGTAGGGCTACCTTTGAACAGCTCTGGCCTGAGGAGCAGATATAACAAGTGGGAGCTGCTGATGGAAAGCCTGGAATGTCAGGGTAAATAGAGGCCAGGCCGGGCGCGGTGGCTTACGTCCGTATCCCAGCACTTTGGGAGGCTGAGGCGGGCGTATCACCAGGTCAGGAGATCAAGACCATCCTGGCTAACACGGTGAAACCCTGTCTCTACTACTAAAATACAAAAAATTAGCCGGGTGTGGTGGCACGTGCCTGCAGTCCCAGCTACTCAGGAGGCTGAGGTGGGGGAATCGCTTGAACCCGGGAGGCGGAGGTTTCAGTGAGCTGAGATCACGCCACTGCACTCCAGCCTGAAGATAGAGCAAGACTTCGTCTCAAAAAAAAAAAAAAAAAAAGCCAGGTCTATAAACTGCAGGCAAGGAAGAGAGCTAGGGCATGTCTTTTTTTTTTTTTTTTTTTTTTTTTTTTTGAGATAGAGTCTCACTTTGCTGCCCAGTCTGGAGTGCAATGGAGTGATCTCGGCTTACTGCCACCTCTGCCCTCCGGGTTCAAGCGATTCTCCTGCCTCAGCCCCCCAAGTAGCAGGGACTGCAGGTGTGCACCACCATACCCGGCTAATTTTTATATTTGCAGTAGAGACAGAGTTGCACCATTTTGGCCAGGCTAGTCTCGAACTCCTGACCTCAGGTGATCCTCCCACCTTGGCCTCCCAAAGTGCTGGGATTACAGATGTGAACCAGTGCGCCCGGCCAGGCATATATTTAAACAAGATATTATAACAGCTAATGCTGAGTGAGTGCCAGTATATGTGGGACACAGTCCCAAGCATTTTATTTATTTATTTATTTTTTGAGACAGGGCCTCACTCTGTAGCCCAGGCTGGAGTGCACTGGTGCAATCACAGCTCACTGCAGCCTTGGCCTCCCCGGTTCAAGCAATCCTCCTACCTTAGTCTCCCAAGTAGCTGGACTATGGGCACATGTCACCACGCCCAGCTATTTTGAAATTTTTTTGTAGAGACTATCTCACTATGTTGCTCATTCTGGTCTTGAACTCCTGAGCTCAAGTGATCCGCCCACCTCAGCCTCCCAAATTGTTGGGATTACAGGCGTGAGTCACCGCACCGGGCCTGTGTTTCTTTCTGTGCACATAAAGCCAGCCCACTGGAATATGGTCTACAGGGCTGGTATTTCTGAGCACCTCCCAAACAAGGGAGGCTGCTGTGGGTGCAGAAACATTTTTAAGTGGCCCCCAAATCCTCTCTGACCTGCCTTCCATGGAGAGGCAGATTCTATGGATCCTTCCCTTGAATCTGGGCTCTGTGTCTGGCTGACCAATGGAATGTGGGAGAAGTGACACTGCTCCACTTTCTGGGCCCACGCCTTAAGGAACTGGCACCTTCCACTCTCTGTCTCTTGGGGACTCACTCTGGAACCTAGTCACCATCTCTGAGGAAGCCCAGACTTCAGGAAGAGTCCATATGAGGGGTCCCAGCCAAACGCCAGCATCTCCTGCCACACATATGAGTGATATTACAGCCCCCAGATGTCCAGTTACCCCCAGACTTTTATTTTTCCAAGACACCAGATATTGTAAAGCAGAGATTAACCCCACAGTGTCCTGCTGGAATTCCTGACTCAAGAAGTCCAGGGCAATGATCAAACAGTGTGTTTTTTTTGTTTGTTTTGTTTTTTTGAGACGGAGTCTCGCTCTGTCTCCCAGGCTGGAGTGCAGTGGCACAATCTTGGCTCACTGCAACCTCCGCCTCCCAGGTTCAAGCAATTCTCCTGCCTCAGCCTCCCGAGTAGCTGGGCCTACAGGTGCCTGCCACCACGACTGGCTACATTTTTTTGTATTTTTAGTAGAGATGGGGTTTCACCGGGTTAGCCAGGATGGTCTCGATCTCCTGACCTCGTGATCTGCCCACCTTGGCCTCCCAAAGTGCTGGGATTACAGGCGTGAGCCACCACGCCCGGCCCAAACAGTGTTTTTTATGCCACTAGGTATTATTTCTTCAAAACAGATAGTTGGTTCAGTGGGACAGAAAAAGGAGCCTAGGACATGGCACTAAATGTCTTGGGTTTATGACACGGCTGGCCGGGTCCATCCTAGCCATGTGCACGGGGGGATATTACTTCAGCAACCTAAGCCTCAGTCCTCCTGCCTGCAAAATGGAGTTAATGATAACTAATGTGTACGGTGACAGCGTGTCAGACAGTCTAAGCAGTTTTTTTTGGAGACGGAGTCTCGCTCTGTCACCCAGGCTGGAGTGCAGTGGTGCGATCTCGGCTTACTGTAACCTCTACCTCCCAGGTTCAAGCGATTCTTCTGCCTTAGCCCCCGAGTAGCTGGGATTACAGGCACCTGCCACCATGTCCGGCTAACTTTTGTATTTTTAGTAGAGACAGGGTTTCACCATGTTGGCCAGGCTGGTCTCGAACCCCTGACCCCAAGTGATCCTCCCGCCTTGGCCTCCAAGGTGCTGGGATTGCAGGCATGAGCCTCCATGCCCGGCTTTCAGTGTCCTCTTGACATGGTGGCTGGCTTCCCCCAGAGGGAGTGATCCAAGAGAGCCAGACAGAAGCCATGCTGCCTTATACGGCTTGTCTCAGAAGTCACTCACCATCCCTTCTGGGGATCCCACTGGTTACACTGATGAGCCCCATTCATTGTGGGAAGGTACTATGGGAATCCCAATGATTACACTGATGAGCCCCATTCATTGTGGGAAGGGACTATACAACAGGAGGAATACCCGGAGGGGTGTTGCAGCCGCAGCCACTTTGGAGGCTGGTTACCGCACATGTGGACACAGTTACTTCTCCAATAACCCCATAAAGTAGATGCTCCTCATAGACATATGTTGTAGATGAGGAAACAGAGGTACAGAAATGAGAAGTAACTTGTTCAGATTCACAGTCTTTTAAGTGGTAAAGCTGGATAGAACACAGGCAGGCAGATCCAGCGTTGAGGCCTAAGTCACTGTGCTGTCAAGCATCTCAGATGCACTGTGAGCCTGAAGGAACATGGTGGGCACGAGAGAGCTTCCACTTTGGAAAGCAAAACAGCAGATATGTACAAGGGGTTGCGCTGATGATTGTAAACACAAGTGAAGCAAATGCAAATTGGGAAAGGATGGATGGGAACTCAGGGTCCTAGGAGATGAAGTTGGGGTGACAGAACAGGAAGGGTGGGCCGGGCGCAGTGGCTCACGCCTGTAATCCCAGCACTTTGGGAGGCCGAGGTGGGTGGACCACGAGGTCAGGAGATCGAGACCATCCTGGCTAACACGGTGAAACCCCGTCTGTACTAACAGTACAAAAAATTAGCCGGGCGTGGTGGCGGGCGCCTGTAGTCCCAGCTACTCGGGAGGCTGAGGCAGGAGAATGGTGTGAACCCGGGAGGCGGAGCTTGCAGTGAGCCTAGACCACACCACTGCACTCCAGCCTGGGTGACAGAGTGAGACTCCATCTCAAAAAAAAAAAAGAACAGGAAGGGTGTACCCAAGGGTCTGGGAAGAGCTGACTGCGCAGGGCCAGGGAGTACCAAAGTGGGAGGGCCTCATGGATGGGTTCAGAAGAAGAGTGCTTATTGGTGAGGTTTGGAGATTGCCATTCCCATCACTTCCGGCACAGGAGCTCTTAATTACAAACCTCTCCTTTGCTTCACTCAATTCAGATGACTCTGTCTCATCCATTCGTTCAGGAAATGTCACTGAGCACGTAGCATGTAAGTCAGGCGATAGACTGAACGGGGGAGACATAATAATGGCCGGGCAAGATAAGGTCCTTGGCTACCTGGAGCTTAGAGTCTAGCAGGGGAGACAAGTTACTGGCAAATTCTACCAGAGTGATGAGTGCAATGACAGGAAAGCACGGGGGACTTGAGGTGCAGAGGAAGACACCAGAGCAGTCAGGGATAGGTGTTTTTTTTGTTTTGATTTGTTTTTTTGAGACAGAGCCTCACTCCGTCATCCAGGCTGGATTGCAGTGGCACGATCTCGGCTCACTGCAACTTCTGCCTTCCAGATTCAAGTGATTCTCCTGCCTCAGCCTCCTGAGAAGCTGGGATTACAGGCGCCCGCCACCATGCCCAGCTAATTTTTTTTTTTTTTTGAGATGGAGTCTTGCTCTGTCACCCAGGCTGGAGTGCAGTGGCGCGATCTCGGCTCACTGCAACCTCTGCCTCCTGGGTTTAAGCGATTCTCCTGCTTCAGCCTCCAGAGTAGCTGCGATTACAGGCACACGCCACCATGCCCAGCTAATTTTTGTATTTTTAGTAGAGACGGGGTTTCACCATGTTGGCCAGGCTGGTCTCGAACTCCTGACCTCAGGTGATCCACCCACCTCAGCCTCCTAAAGTGCTGGGATTACAGGCGTGAGCCACTGCGCCCGGCCAGGGATAGGTGTCTTGCATTTAGCAAGTGAGACAAGAGTAGGCCAGATTGGGAAGACTTTTCTCAGCAGAGGGAACAGCCATGCAGAGGCTCAGGGGAGAGCGAGCCAAGATGCTGAGGTGCTTTCCCCTGTTGAAAGCCTGGCTTGTGGATGGTGGAAGGGGGAGAGCTGGGTGATCTCAGGATCAGAGCAGGGAAGGAGAAGCTAAGGAGGTACCAATGTAGTTCCTCACTGGCATGGAGAGGCCTCTGCACAGGAATGGGCCTCACTCAACCTGTGCTTCTCCCATCCCACCCCCATCCAAGGTGGTGAGGGCAGCCAGGCAGCCGAGTACCCTCTCTGCTTATCTTCCCCTGTAGGGGAAGAATTGGCCCTGCTGCTGTGAATGTGGTCCTCATTCCCAGATGCAGAGCCTGCGGGGCAGGGCAGAGGTTAGGGAAGGGCAGTTGGAGTGGGCGGTGCCCCATCTGGGTCTCCAGGTTTAAGTGTTAATGGGTGCTGCATTCCAGCCTGAAGGAGATGCTCCCTAACAGCGATTAGGATGGCCGGGCTGTGCTTCCCCTACATCCCACCCTCTTTATGGGCAAAGGTGGGGATGGGAGAAACTTAAATCCAAAAGTAAAAAATAGGCCGGTGCGGTGGCTCACGCCTGTAATCCCAACACTTTGGGAGGCTGAGGCAGGTGAGGTCAAGAGTTCAAAACCAGCCTGACCAACACGGTGAAACCCCGTCTCTACTAAAAATACAAAAATTAGTCTGGCATGGTGGCAGGTGCCTGTAGTCTGAGCTACTTGGGAGGCTGAGGCAGGAGAATCGCTTGAACCTGGGAGGTAGAGGTTGCAGTGAGCTGAGATCATGCCACTGCACTCCAGCCTGGGTGACAGAGCGAGACTCCATTTGGAAAAAAAAAAAAAGTAAGAAATAAACAGGAAGAAGGGGAGAAATAAAAAGTCTTCTAGGCCAGGCATAGTGGCTCACGCCTGTAATCCTAGCACTTTGCGAGGCCGAGACGGGTGGATCACCTGAGGTCAGTAGTTCAAGACCAGCCTGGCCAACATGGCGAAACCCCGTCTCTACTAAAAATACAAAAAATATTAGCCAGGTATGGTGGTGCAATGCCTGTAATCCCAGCTACTCGAGAGGCTGAGGAAGGAGAATCGCTTGAACCCAGGAGGTGGAGGTTGCAGTGAGCCAGGCGCAACAGGAGCGAGACTCCATCTCAAAAAAAAAAAAAAAAAGGCTTCTAATTCCCTGGATTTTTTTTCCCAAGCCCAAGCTAAAAGCATGCTTGAGTCTCCGCCTCCGGTTTCCTGCTGGGGCAAGATAGGGTGAAGGGGACCTGAGCCTGGAGTCCAACCCACGGTGCCCCGTCTCCTCGGCCTCCCCTCCATCTGTGATGCTGTGATATAATAAGAAATATATATTTGATATTTACCCTGGTCTCTGGCACAGAGCTCCTGTAACCCTTGGAATTTCCTGAGTGACAGTGGTGCCAGGAGCATCTGTTGTTATTCATAAGCCCCTTTCAACCATACCTGAGCTGATGCTGATGGGGTGACTCTTGGAGGATGGGGGCTGGTTGCCAGAGGAACCAACCATGTGATTAGAGGGTTGGAACTTTCAACCCCCTCCCCAGCCTCCACGTAGCGGGGAGTAGCTGAAGAGTGAGTTCAATTACCAAGGCCGATGATTTAATCAATCATGCTACATAATGGAGCTTCTATAAAAACCCCAAACAATGGAGTTCAGAGAGTTTCCAGGTCGGAGAAGGCTTGGAGGCGCTGGGAGGATGTCATGCCCAGAGAGGGCACGGAAGCTGCATACCCCTCCTGCAAACCTTGCTGGAAGCAACTCATCCACCTGGTTATTCATCTGTATCCTTTGTGATGTAATTTCCTTCCTCCCTCCCTCCCTCCCTTCCTTCCTTCCTTCTTTCTTTCCTTCCTTCCTTCTTGACAGAGTCTCACTCTGTTGCCCAGGCTGGAGTGCAGTGGTGCGATCTTGGCTTACTTCAGCCTCCGCCTCCTGAGTTCAAGCGATTCTCCTGCCTCAGCCACCTGAGTAGCTGGGATTACAGGCATGTGCCACCAGGCCTGGCTAATTTTTGTATTTTTAATAGAGATGGGGTTTCACCATGTTGGCCAGGCTAATCTCGAACTCCTGACCTCAAGTGATCTGCCCGTCTTGGCCTCCCAAAGTGCTAGGATTACAGGTGTGAGCCACTGCGGCTGACCTTTTTTCCCAGCTAATTTTTGTATTTTTTGTAGAGACGTGGTTTCACCATGTTGCCCAGGCTGGTCTCAAGCTCCTGAGCTCAAGCCATCTGCCCACCTCGGCCTCCCAAAGTGCTGGGATTACAGGCGTGAGCCACCCTGCCTGCCCTGTAATATCCTTTAAAACAAACTGGTAAATGTAAGTAAATGTTTCCCTCAGTTTTGTGAGCCATTCTATCAAATTATTCAACCCAAGGTAGGGGTCGTGGGGACCCCTGAGTTCTAACTGGTCAGTGAGAAGGACAGAAGGCTCGGAGGAGCAGTTGGCATCTGAAGTCAGGGGCAGTCTGTGAGAATGAGCCCTTAAATAGGGGTCTGCACTAACTAGGTACTGAGTGCCAGAACCGAATTAAATTATAGGACACCCAGTTGATGTCTGCAGAGAATTGGAGAATTGCTTGGCACGGGGAAAAAACCCACACATCTGGTGTCACAATGGTATGTGAGAGTATTAAAATATGTTTTTTTTTTCCTTTTTATCACTCCATAAGCAGGGCCTCAGCAGGCCAGTCTCACTCTCCTAATCCAGTCGTCAGTGCCCCTCCGCTTTACCTCCTGCTTCCCCCTCGCCCTCTCCCGGTCTCCACAGCAGGCTGATTCTGTCACTCCCCTGTGTAAGACAACTCCTCAGAGCCCTCAGGTAAGGCCCAAGCTCCTTACCATGTTCTGCAGGCCCTCTAGAATGAAGCTCCCCTGGGGGAGATTGTGTCTGCTTGTTCACCTGGGTTCCCAGAACCTGGCACGGAGTAGAGACTCAGTCAAAGTTTGCTAGAGGGATGAATCAATGCCTGCTCCGGCTCCCGCCTCTCTGGCTACATCTGCCTTCATCTCTCCCCATGTGCCCTAGCCTCACGTTCATTCAATTCTCAGATGACCTCTAGTACTTCCCAGAGTACACTGGGTGTTCAAAGGAAAGTCAGATTTCACATGATCTTCCCTGAAGAAGCTCATGGAAAGACTGTGTTTTTCCTACCAAGAACTTGGACTTTGCTCATTCCATCCCTTCAGCCTAGAAGGCTTAGCAACATCTGACCTGTCCTTCAGGGCTCAGCTCAAGTGCTACTACCTATTTATTTATTTATTTGAGACAGAGTTTTGCTCTTTTCACCCAGGCTGGAGCGCAGTGGTGCAATCTCGGCTCACTACAACCTCCGCCTCCCAGATTCAAGCGATTATCCTGCCTCAGCCTCCTGAGTAGCTGGGATAACAGGTGCCCGCCACCACACCCGGCTAATTTTTATATTTTTAGTAGAGACAGGGTTTCACCATGTTGACCAAGCTGGTCTCGAACTCCTGACCTCAGGTGATCCACCCACCTCGGCCTCCCAAAGTGCTGGGATTGCAGGTGTGAGCCACCTTGCCTGGCCATTTCTGCCTCTTTCTTGAAGTCTGCCTTCATGGTTTTATTCAGCCCAGTGAGAACATTCACCCACTTCTTTGCATTCCCAAGGCCCCCTCAGTTCTTCCTTACATGAGAGCTACTGCTTTCATTAATTATTTTATGGACTTATTCACCTAATAACATGTACTGAGAACCTGCTTTGGACAGTACTCGTTGTGCGCAGCTGCAGTCCTAGCTCCTTGGAAGGCTGAGGCGGGAGGATCGCATGCTAATTTGTAAACCCACTGCAAGGTAAGGAAGCTGAACTGAGACTCCTGCATTAATCTGGGACTCCTGAAAGAAGCTAAAACTGTCTCAAGTTGTTTGCAACCTCTGGCATCTGGCAGAAGCAAATGAAATTTCTCTCTGGAGTAAAACATCTCAAATTTAGGCACTTGGAATTCCTACAGATTAAGATCAATAAAATATAATATTAAACTGTGTACAGTGGTACATACCCATAGTCCCAGCTACTCGGGAGGCTGAGGAGGAGGATCCCTGAAGCCCAGGAGCTTGAGACTGCAGGACACTATAATTGTGCCTGTGAATAGCCACTGCCCTTTAGCCTGGGCAACATAGCAAGACCTATCTCTAAGAGAAAATAAAATATAATAAAATGTAATATAATTTCACAATCATAGACACACAAGGAAACAATCCACCGTGAATGAGAGTCAGCAGAAACAATGACTATAAATTTAGATCTGTAAGGATATTAAAAATTGGAATAAAAACAAAACTATGAATGAAGAATTAAAGAAAATGTGGAGACCGGGCGCAGCGGCTCACACCTGTAATCCCAGCACTTTGGGAGGCCAAGGCAGGTGGATCACACGGTCAGGAGACCGAGACCATCCTAGCTAACATGGTGAAACCCCATCTCTACTAAAAAAATACAAAAAAATTAGCTGGGCATGGTGGCAGGCACCTGTAGTCCCAGCTGCTTGGGAGGCTGAGGCAGGAGAATGGCTTGAACCCGGGAGTGCAGAGCTTGCAGTGAGATGAGATTGCGCCACTGCACTCCAGCCTGGGCAACAGAGCAAGACTCCCCCTCAAAAAAAAAAAAAAAAGAAAAGAAAATGTGGAATAGGCCAGGCATGGTGGCTCATACCTGCAATCTCAGCTCTTTGGGAGGCCGAGGTAGGAGGATTGCTTGAGCTCAGGAGTTTAAGACCAGCTTTGACAATATAATGAGACTCCATCTCTACTTATTTAAAAAAAAAAAAAAAAGGGCCGGGCGCGGTGGCTCACACCTATAATCCCAGCACTTTGGAAGGCTGAGGTGGCGCATGCCTGTAGTCCCAGCTACTCAGGAGGCTGAGGCAGAAGAATCGCTTGAACCCAGGAGGCAGAGGTGGCAGTGAGCTGAGATCACGCAACTGCACACCAGCCCGGGTGACAGAGCGAGACTCCGTCTCAAAAAAAAAAAAAGGGCTGGGCGTGGTGGCTCACACCTGTAATCCCAGCAGTTTGGGAGCCCAAGGCAGGTGGATTACCTGAGGTCAGAAGTTCAAGACCAGCCTTGCCGAACATGGTGAAACCCCATCTCTGCTAAAAATACAAAAATTAGCCAGGCGTGGTGGCGCACACTTGTAATCCTTAGGAGGCTGAGGCACAAGAATCCCTTGAACCTGGGAGGCAGAGGCTGCAATGAGCGAAGATCATGCCACTGCATGCCAGCCTGGGAGGCAGAGTGAGACACTGTCTCAAAAAAAAAAACAAAAAAACACTCCCAAAACCAAAAAAAAAAAAAGAAAACAACAACCAAAAGAGAGAATGTGAAATGAAAAATGAGAAAGCAACAAGATCCCATCTATACAAAACTAAAAATAAAAAATTAGTTGGACATGGTGGTGCATGCCTGTAATCTGAGCTACTTAGAAAGCTGAGGTGAGAGGATCAATTGAGCCCAGGAGTTTGAGGCTGCAGTGAGCTATGATCACATCGCATCACTGTACTCTAGCCTGGGCCACAGAGCAAAACCTTGTCCAAAAAAAAAAAAAAGAAAGAAAGAAAAAAGAAAACAAAAAGAAAGCTGGGCACGGTGGCACACACCTGTGGTGTAGTCCCAGTTCCTCAGGAGGTTGATTTGAGGTGAGAGAATCATTTGTTGCCCAGGTTATTCTCAAACTCCTGGCCTCAAGCGATCCTCCCGCCTTGGCCTCCCAAAATGATGGGATTACAGGCATGAGCCACCATGCTGGGCCGAGTCCAGGAGTTTGAATCAGCCTGGGCTGGGCAACATAGCTCCTCTCTCTCTCTTTTTCTTTTTTTTCTTTGAAACAAGTTCTTGCTCTGTGGCCCAGGCTGGAGTGTGATGGCACCGTCATGGCTCACTGAAGCCTCAAATTCCTGGGCTCAAGCGATCCTCCCACCTCAGCCTCCCAACTAACTGGGACTACAGGTGCATGCAACCAGGCTTGACTAATTTTTAATTTTATTTTTGTAGAGACAGGGGTCTCACTATTTCGCCCAGGCTGGTCTTGAACTCCTGGCCTCAAGCAATCTTCCCACCTGGGCCTCCCAAAGTGCTGGGATTACAGGTATGACCCATCACACCCAGCCGAAACAATTAATTAATTACTATTTGGTTTTATTTGAGACAGGCTCTCGCTCTGTCGCCCAGGCTGGAATGCAGTGGCAGGATCTTAGCTCACTGCAATGTCCACCTCCTGGTTTCAAGCAATTCTGCTGCCTCAGCCTCCTGAGTAGCTGGGACTACAGGTGCTTGCCACTATGCCCGGCTAATTTTTGTTATGTTTTGTAGAGACAGAATTTCATCATGTTGCATAGGCTAGTCTCAAAATCCTAGGCTCAAGCGATCTTCCAGCCTCAGCCTCCCAAAAGTGCTGGGATTACAGATGTGAGCCACAGCTCCTGGCACAATTAATTAATTTTTTAAAAAATAATAAAGCAACAGAAGACTATAAAAGATGACCAGGGACATTAAAGAGACAAAAGTATCTTTGGCTGAAAAAATGACATGAAAAATGTAATTGCTGAAGTTTAAGAAAAACTCTTTTTTTTTTGAGACAGAGTCTCGCTCTGTCGCCCAGGCTGGAGTGCAGTGGCACAATCTCGGCTCACTGCAACCTCCACCTCCCAGGTTTAAGCGATTCTCCTGCCTCAGCCTCCCAAGTAGCTGGGATTACAGGCATGCGCCACCACACTCAGCTAATTTTCATATTTTTAGTAGAGACAGGGATTCACCATGTTGACCAGGCTGGTCTTGAACTCCTGACATCAGGTGATCCACCCACTCGGCCTCCCAAAGTGTGGGATTGCAGGCATGAGCCACCATGCCCAGCCCCCCAAAAATACTCTTAAATTGACACAAAAAGCACTAAAAGAAAAAAATGAATAAATTAGACTCCACCCAAATTTAAAACTTTTTATTTTCCAAAGACACTGTTAAGAAAATAAAAGGGGCTAGGCATGGTGGCTCACACCTGTATCTCAGCACTTTGGAAGGCCAAGGCGGGTGGATCACCTAAGGTCAGGAGCTCGAGACCAGCCTAGCCAACGTGGCAAAACCCCATCTCTACTAAAAATACAAAAATTAGCCAGGCATGGTGGGGTATGCCTGTAATCCCAGCTACTCAGGAGGCTGAGGCAAGAGAATCGCTTGAACCCGGGAGGCGGAGGTTGCTGTGCGCCAAGATTGCCCCACTTCACTCCAGCCTGGGCAAAAGAGTGAGACTCCGTCTAATAAATAAATAAATAAAGGTACATGGATGGCAAATAAGCACATGAAAAGATACTGAACACATTAATCATTAGACAAATGCAAAGTAAAACCACAATGATGGCTGGGTGCAGTGGCTCACGCCTGTAATCCCAGCACTTTGGGAGGTCAAGGCAAGTGGATCATCTGAAGTCAGGAGTTCAAGATTAGCCTGGCCAACATGGTGAAACTCCGTTGCTACTAAAAATACAAAAATTAGCTGGGCATAGTGGCACATGTCTGTAGCCCCAACTACTTGGGAGGCCAAGGCAGGAGGATCGCTTGTACCTGGGAGGCAGAGGTTGCAGTGAGCTGATATCATGTCACTGCACTCCAGCCTGGACTACAGAGCAGGACTCCATCTAAACAAACAAACAAAAAACCACAATGAGATATCACTATGGCACTGACTAGAATGGCTAAAATTAGAAAGTGTTGCTGAAGATGTAGAGCAACTGGAACTTTCATACTCTGCTGGGAAGACTTTGAAATGGTACAACCAGCTGGATGCAGCAGCTCACATGTGTAATCCCAGCATTTGGGGAGGCAGAGGCAGGAGGATTGCTTAAAGCCAAGAGTTTGAGACTAGCCTGGGCAACACAGTGAGACCTTATCTCTACTAAAAATTAAAAAAAAAATTAGCCAGGCATTGTGGCATGCACCCATGGCCTCAGGTACTTGGGAGGCTGAGGTGGGAGGATCATTTAAGCCCAGGAGTTTGAGGCTACAGTGAGCTATGATCATACCACTGCACTCCATCCTGGTTGATAGAGTGAGACTTTCTTGCTAAAAATAAATAAATAAATAGGCCGGGTGTGATGGCTCACACCTGTGATCCCAGCACTTTGGGAGGCCGAGGCGGGTGGATCATGAGGTCAGGAGATCAAGGCCATCCTGGCTAACACAGTGAAACCCCGTCTCTACTAAAAACACAAAAAAAATTAGCTGGGCCTGGTGGTGGGTGCCTGTAGTCCCAGCTACTCGGGAGGCTGAGGCAGGAGAATGGCATGAACCCAGGAGGTGGAGCTTGCAGTGAGCCGAGATCACGCCACTGCACTCTAGCCTGAGTGACAGAGCGAGACTCCGTCTCAAATAAATAAATAAATAAATAAATAAATAAATAAATAAATAGCCAGGCGCGGTAGCTCACACCCGTAATCCCAGCACTTTGAGAGGCTGAGGCGGGCAGATCACTTAAGGTCAGGAGTTCAAGACCAGCCTGGCCAACATGGCAAAACCCCATCTCTACTAAAAATACAAAAATTAGCTGGGTATGGTGGCTCGCACCTGTAGTCCCAGCTACTCGGGAGGCTGAGGCAGGAGAATCATTTGAACCCAGGAGATGGAGGTTGCAGTGAGACAAGATGGCACCACTTCACTCCAGCCTGGGCGACAGAGTGAGACTTTGTCTCAAAAAAATTTTTTCTTGGCCAGGCACGGTGGCTGACACCTGCACTTTGGGAGGCCGAGGTGGGTGGATCACCTGAGGTCAGGAGTTCGAGACCAGCCTGGTCAACATGATTAAACCCCGTCTCTACTAAAAATACAAAAAATTAGCTGGGCATGGTGGCACATACCTGTAATTGCAGCTACTCAGGAGGCTGAGGCAGGAGAATCGCTTGAACCCAGGAGGCAGAGGTTGCAGTGAGCCGAGATGGCACCACTGCACTCCAGCCTGGGCAACAAGAGCAAAACTCCGTCTCAAAAAAAACCTTTTTTTATTTTAATAAATAAATGAAATGAAATGGTAAAACCACTTTGGAAAACAGTTTTTTTGGTTTCTTAAAAAATTAAACATACCTGGCCAGGTGCGGTGGCTCACGCCTGTAATCTCAGCACTTTGGGAGGCCGAGGCAGGCGGATTATGAGGTCAGGAGATCGAGACCATCCTGGCTAACATGATGAAACCCCGTCTCTACTAAAAAATACAAAAAAAAATTAGCTGGGCATGGTGGTGGGCACCTGTAGTCCCAGCTACTTGGGAGGCTGAGGCAGGAGAACGGCATGAACCCGGGAGGCTGAGCTTGCAGTGAGCTGAGTTGGCACCACTGCACTCCAGCCTGGGCGACAGAGCGAGACTCTGTCTCAAAAAAAAAAAAAAAAATTAAACATACTAATTTTATGACCCAGACATTCCACTCCTAGGTATTTACCAAAGACAAAGGGAAACATATGTCCACACAAAGACTTAAAGAGAGTGGTCACAGCAGCTTTATTCATAATGGGCGAAAACTAGAAACAACCCAAATGTTTATCAACAGGTGAATGTATAAACAAATTATGATACATCCATACAATGGAATACTACTCGGCACTAAAAGGGGATGAATACTGATGATACATACAATATCATGAATGAATCTCAAAATAGTTATTCTGAGTAAAAGAAGGCAGGCAAAAAAGAATGCATACTGTAGGATTCTATTTACATAAACTTCTAGGAAATGCAAGCTAGTCTAGAGTGACAGAAACAGATCAGTGGTTGTCTGAGGAACGAGGGGCAGAAGAGATTACAAAGGGACATAAGGAAACTTTAGGGGTGGCAATATGTTCATTACTGTGGTTATGGTGATGGTTTCATGAGTGCACACATTTGTCAAAACTTATCAAATCACAAGCTTTAAATATGGGCAGTTTATTGAATGTCAATTATACCTCAATAAAGCTGTAAAAAAAAAACTCCAGTGGATAAAAATAATTCATATATCCATCATTAGGATACTAGATTTGAAAAGTAATATATTTATATAATGAACTACTACTTCATAATAAAAAATAACTACTAATATACACAACAGCATAGATGAATCTCAAAAAGATTATGGTGAGTGAAATAAGCCAAAAACAAAAAAACTGAATAAGCACTCCATTTATAAGATCTAGAGCAGGTAAAGTGATCATTGTTTTTTTTTTTTTTAATCCTTTTTGTGTGTGTGTGGGTGGGGGCGGGGTGAATGGAGTCTTACTCTGTCACCAGGCTGGAGTGCAGTGGTGCAATCTCAGCTCACTGCAGCCTCCGCCTCCTGGATTCAAGTGATTCTCCTGCCTCAGCCTCCCAAGTAGCTGGGATTACAGGCACATGCCACCATGCCCAGCTAATTTTTGTATTTTTAGTAGAGATGGGTTTTTACCATGTTGGCCAAGATGGTCTCGATCTCTTCACCTCATGATCCGCCCGGCCTCCCAAAGTGCTGGGATTACAGGTTGAGCCACCGAGCCCAGCATTTTTTTTTTTTTTTTTTTTTTTTGAGACAAAGCCTCACTCTGTTGCCCAGGCTGGAGTGCAGTGGCATGATCTCGGCTTACTGCAACCTCTGCCTCCCAGGTTGGAGCAATTCTCCTGCCCCAGCCTCCCACGTAGCTGGGATTACAGGCGCCTGCCACCATGCCTGGCTAATTTTTGTATTTTTAGTAGAGACAGGGTTTCACCATGTTGGCCAGGATGGTCTTGAACTCCTGACCTCAGGTGATCCACCTGCCTCGGCCTCCCAAAGTGCTGGGATTATAGGCGTGAGCCACCGCGCCCGGCCAGATCATTGGGTTTTAAAAATCAGAGTAGTAGTTCCTTCTGGGGGATGAAATTGACTAAAAATAGACACAAGGGAACTTTATGGGATGAAAGAAATGTTCTGGATCTTTAGCCACATTAATAGATGTGTACATTTGTTGAAATTCATCATATTATACAGTTAAATGTGTACATGTTACTGACTATAGATTATATCTCAGTAAAATAGTGTAATGAAGTAGAGTAGGGGCCGGGCGCGGTGGCTCATGCCTGGATTCCCAGCACTTTGGGAGGCTGAGACAGGTGGATCACGAGTTCCGGAGTTCAAGACCAGCCTGGACAATATGGTGAAATCCCGTCTCTACTAAAAAAATACAAAAATTAGCCAGGCATAGTGGCAGGCGCCTGTCGTCCCAGCTAATCAGGAGGCTGAGGCAGGCAACTGCTTGAACCCGGGAGGTGGAGGTTGCAGTAAGCCGAGATTGTGCCACTGCACTCCAGCCTGGGCGACAGAGAGACTCTGTCTCAAAAAAAAAAAAAAAGAAAGAAAGAAAGAGAGAGAGAAAGAAAGAGAGAAAGAAAGAAAGAAAGAAAGAAAGAAAGAAAGAAAGAGAAAGAAAGAAAAAGAAAAGTAGAGTAGGGCCAGGCATGATGATGGCCCACGCCTGTAATCCCAGCACTTTGGGAGGCCGAGGTGGGCAGATCACAAGGTCAGGAATTTGAGACCAGCCTGGCCAACATGGTGAAACCCTGTCTCTACTAAAAATACAAAAATTAGCTGGGCGTGGTGGTGCGGCTGTAATCCCAGCTACTCCAGAGGCTGAGGCAGGAGAATCGCTTGAAACCGGAAGGCGGAGGTTGCAGTGAGCCGAGATCGTGCCACTGTACTCCAGCCTGGGCAAAAGAATGAAACTCCGTCTCAAAAAAAAAAAAAAAAGAAAAGAAAGTAGAGTAATTTTCGGCCGGGCACGGTGGCTCACGCCTGTAATCCCAACACTTTGGGAGGCTGAGGTGGGCGGATCACCTGAGGTCAGGAATTCAAGACCAGCATGATGGCGGGTGCCTGTAATCACAGCTACTTGGGAGGCTGAGGCAGAAGAATCGCTTGAACCTGGGAGGTGGAGGTTGCAGTGAGCCAAGATTGCACCACTGCACTCCAGCCTGGGCTACAGAGCGAGACTTGTCTCAAAAAAAGGAAAAAAAGTAGAGTAATTTTTTTTTTTTCTCTGTCACCCAGGCTGGAGTGCAGTGGCACAATCTCGGCTCACTGCAAGCTCCACCTCCTGGGTTCACGCTATTCTCCTGCCTCAGCCTCCCGAGTAGCTGGGACTACAGGCGCCTGCCACCAGGCCCGGCTAATTTTTTTGTGTGTGTGTATTTTTAGTAGAGACGGGGTTTTCACCGTGTTAGCCAGGATGGTCTCCATCTCCTGACCTCGTGATCCACCCGCCTCAGCCTCCCAAAGTGCTAGGATTACAGGTGTGAGCCACTGTGCCTGGCCAAGTAGAGTAATTTTCATATGAGTATAACAACAACCAAAAAATAAAATTAAAAAACCCTTCCATGTAAGGATTAAACAGCACATCAGATGTAACCAAAGAGAGAATTAGTGAACTGGAAGACAGACTGGAAGAGATTACCTGAATGTATCACCAAGACACAAAGAGATGAAAGATACAGGAGACAGGTTAAAAGACACAGAGTACAGAATGAAAAGGTCTAGAACACTCCTAATCAGAGTTGGCAAAGGAGAGAGCACAGAGGACAGAGGAAAAATAATATCTGGATGGTTTCTGAGAACTTTCCAATATGATAAAATACGATAAAAGATGTGAATTCATACATACAGGAAGTACAACATATTGAGCAGAATAAATAGAATAAATAAACATCTAGATACATTGTGACAAAACTACAAAACACCAATGATATCTTAAAAGCAGGGAGTAAAAAGAGATCATCTACACAACAATGAGGATTAGACTGAGGAGACTTCTTTACAACCAACATGTATCAGGCCTATTATATGCCCACACTGTCCTAGGTACTTAGAACACAAGTATGAACAAGCCAGGCCCAGCCCCTACCCTGTGGAGCTACAGAACCTCTAACAGGGATCGCAGATGTGCAGTAACAATTATAGTGTGATGAGCGATCCTGGTTGGAGGGCAAAAGAATCGGCAAGAAAACAATACCATAGAACAGCATTATGAAGATTTTCCTATCCCACGTAGGATCCACACAGGGACTGGCCCCCAAGCACAGATCCTTGCTGGCAGCCTGAGAGTCACTCGGTCTAACTTGGTTTCAAGGCAACTCCACCAGCCTTTATTAAATAAGGCTCTGGGTCTCTGGGTACTGGCTGCCTGCTCACACTTTCCCTTACAGACATCTGGACCCCTCCCTTACCCCACATTATAAGCAAGGAGGAAGAAGAGGACCCGAGGCTGGGAAACGTGGAGGTGGCAGTTGGGATCAAACATCCTACATGTTTACCAAGACCAGGAGGGCTTTTCCCTCCAAGGGACCCTTGGGACAGCAGCTGCTATGTTCACGCGTCCTTCCTTGGGACAGGGGACAGACTAGATGTCCTAAGACTGGCAGCTTCCTCTCTGGGACCCCTGAGAGAAGCGGAGACAAATGGTCCTCCTCAGGGCCTTCTTCAAGGTCCTGGACTTAGTCCCAGTGGCCACAGGCTAGGTAGCAGTGTGCAGGGCCCTGAGTTCTGCAGAGCTTGCATGGAGAGCAGGCGTTACGCTGGAAGGAAGCCCAGGAGTGTCAGTAATGGGGAAGCGTGCCCTGAGGCATGGAATGCTGCCGGTGATCAACAACAGCTTCAACTGTAGACTCTGTCTAGGCCAGGGCCAACTCTCCGTACCAGCATCAACATCTCTCTGCCCTGGCCCCATTCCAGGGTTCATTAAGTAAAGCCTGCTAGGAAGCTCTGAACCCCCTGCCATGGGGCAGGAACTGTGTCCTATTTAGCCTTATATTCCCTGTGCGTGGACAGGATAGCTCTATCGGGCGCTTATTCATGTAAGAGGTAGGGTCCTGGCTGAGAGGTGAAGGATTTGGCGAGAGGGCATGGGGGACAGAGACAGAGGAGTGAAGTCTGGGGAGGGCTGGGAAGCTATTCGGAGAAGGCTGGAAAGACGTGAAGGAAGACGAGCAGAGGAGAAGGGAAGGGGGCTTCTCACAGTCGGGGCGATCTGGTCTGGAGGAGGGAGGGGCCGCCAGTCGCCCTGGGGACCGTCACCTTGTCCCACTAGGGAACTCGGGGTGCGGCCCTCGCCGGCCCCGGGCCAGCGGCCAGGTCCCCGCCCTCCGCGGGATTTACTCCTGTCCCGCCTCCTCGGATTTAGCCCAGGCAGCCTGGGAGGTTCCGCAGTCGCCGCTTCCGCCTTGACCAGGTGAGGGTCCGGACCGAGCAGGGGGCCCGGGCTGGGGAGAGCCGGCGGAGCAGCCGTCGCTGGGGGCGCGTCCGGGGGGCGCTGGGCCTGTCCTCTTCTCCTGCGTCCTTCCCTCCCGCAGCCGCGCTTCCTCCTGTCTCCCTTCTGCGCTCCCCGCTTCCCACCGAGCGCGCAGGGCCGGGTCCCCCAGGGTCCTGGGCTTTCTCCTTCCCAACCCAACCCTGTTCGCGCCCGGTTCTGAGTCCACCTGCGCGTTTCCAACTAGGCCCAGCCTCGATCCTCTTCTTCCTCCTTGCTTATAATGTAGGGGAAGGGACGGGTCCAGGAGTGTGCTAGGGAAAGTGTGAGCAGGCTGCCAGTACCCAGAGGCCCAGAGCCTTATTTAACAAAGGTTGGTGGAGTTGCCTTGAAGCCAAGTTAGACCGAGTGACTCAGGCTGCCAGCAGGCATCTGTGCCTGGGGCTGAGCTCAGGTAGGTGTGGGACTGTGTACCTGACAGCCTCAGTGGCTCCATAGGCAGCACCTAAGCCTAGCGGCCATCACAAGTGCCTGATTTGATTTCAAATGTTGCTGCCTCCGGTGGAGGAGAGGCAATGACTGTGGACCTCTTTTGGCTTGAGGGGTCCCTATGCCCCCATAGCTCAGGTATGCTGTGTGCACACTGTACCTCGATGTCTGTGTGTTGTGTTCATGTGGACCTTTGTGTCTTAGCCGTGTGGGGCAGTGTATCTAGGTGTTTGGAGGCAGTGAACTGCCATGTCCCATGGATGTGACACGTATGTACAAGGAACATCTCATGGAAGGACACAGATGAGCCTGGGCGTTTTGTGGCCGCATGCTGAAATGTCTCAGCGTTAAGACGACATATATCGGCCGGGCGCAGTGGCTCACGCCTGTAATCCCAGCACTTTGGGTGGCCGAGGCGGGCGGATCACGAGGTCAGGAGTTCAAGACCAGCCTGGCCAATATGGTGAAACCCCATCTCTACTAAAAATACAAAAAATAGCCGGGCATGGTGGCACGCGCCTGTAGTCCCAGCTACTTGGGAGGCTGAGGCAGAAGAATTGCTTGAACCCGGGAGGCGGAGGTTGCAGCGAGCTGAGATCACGCCACTGCATTCCAGCCTAGATGACAGAGCGAGACTCCGTCTCAAAAAAAAAAAAAAAGAGGACATGTATTTGGGAGTCTCGGCCATGTTTTGCAGTATATCTGTAGGTCTCAGTGTGTGTGTGTGGCAGCATGTGGGAGGCAGTGTACCTTCGTGTGTGTGCGTGCTCTACCTACATGTCTGAGGTATGGTGTGGTTGTCATATCTGAGCATCTCCAGTGTGTGTGGTAGGCAAACATGTCTCATGTTGGAGGAAGGGAGATGTCTCATGTTGGAGGAAGGGAGATGTCGTCTCAGGTGTGTATGAGTGAGTTTGTGCCACTGCGTAGCTCAGGTCTAAAAGGGCAGTGTTTCTGGGTGTCCGGGTGTGTGATGTGCCGTGATATTTCAGAGTCAGGATGGTAACATACCTGGAGTCTGTAGTAGGAGCAGGCAGTATGCTAAAATTGCAGGTGTGAGCAGGGCAGGTTACTCAGCGGTGAAGGGACAGAGTACCCGGATGCCTGGGCACGGGGAACATTCTATCTGGGATTTGTGTGCGTGAGTGGCAGGGATCCTGGCTGTCTCTGCTGTGTCCCTGCCTCTGTACCTGAGTGTTTCTAATGACTTGCAGGTGGAGCTGGAGACCTGGTCTCTCTAGGGCCTACCCTGAGCTCACCATCTGAAGGAGAGTGCCATCATCCTTAGGAACTCCTTCTCCAGACATGCTTCCTGAGGCTGGCTCCCTGTGGCTACTGAAGCTGCTCCGGGACATCCAGTTGGCCCAGTTTTACTGGCCCATCCTTGAGGAGCTTAATGTCACTCGGCCAGAGCACTTCGACTTTGTAAAGCCTGAGGACCTGGACGGCATTGGCATGGGCCGGCCTGGTGAGGGACCCCTGCCCCGAGGCCCTGGTCTCTCTGTCCACAGCCTATCAGTTGCCTTCCCCCACCACAACCCTCTTCCAGCCCTTTTCTTCCCTGTAAGTCTCTCCGCACTCTTCCCCACACCCACCTCCACTCCAGCCCTGATTCTGGCCTCCCACAGCCCAGCGCAGACTGTCCGAAGCTCTGAAAAGGCTACGTTCTGGGCCTAAGTCTAAGAACTGGGTCTACAAGGTGTGTGTTGTAGGTGGGCAGCTTGGGCCTGGGAATGAGGTGGCTTGAGGGGCAGGGAGGGGGGCGCAGGGCTCTGCATACCGGATTTCCCATCCCTGTTTCAGATCCTTGGAGGTTTTGCCCCTGAGCACAAGGAGCCCACCCTGCCCTCGGACAGCCCACGGCACCTCCCTGAGCCAGAGGGGGGCCTCAAGTGTCTGATCCCAGAGGGTGCTGTTTGCAGAGGGGAGCTGCTGGGTTCAGGCTGCTTCGGTGTGGTGCACCGAGGGCTGTGGACGCTGCCCAGTGGCAAGAGTGTGAGTGTCCAGGGAGCCCGCTTCATCCAGGCCAGCTGCCCCCTCTGTTCTTCATGCCCGCAATGCCTAAAGGCGCTTCCCCCCACCTCCAGGTCCCAGTGGCTGTCAAGTCCCTCCGGGTAGGTCCCGAAGGCCCGATGGGCACAGAACTGGGGGACTTCCTGCGAGAGGTATCGGTCATGATGAACTTGGAGCACCCACACGTGCTGCGTCTGCACGGCCTTGTACTGGGCCAGCCTCTGCAGATGGTGAGCAGATCCAGCCGCTGGTTCCCGGGACAGCCGTGCGGCAGGAGCGTGGGCGGCCAGGGTCCAATGGGTCCGGCTCACGCGGCGCGGTGTTCCCTCCTGCAGGTGATGGAGCTGGCGCCACTGGGCTCCCTGCACGCGCGCCTAACGGCCCCGGCCCCGACACCCCCGCTGCTCGTGGCCCTGCTCTGCCTCTTCCTGCGGCAGCTGGCGGGAGCCATGGCGTACCTGGGGGCCCGCGGGCTGGTGCACCGAGACCTCGCTACGCGCAACCTACTGCTGGCGTCGCCGCGCACCATCAAGGTGGCTGACTTCGGGCTGGTGCGGCCTCTGGGCGGTGCCCGGGGCCGCTACGTCATGGGCGGGCCCCGCCCTATCCCCTACGCCTGGTGAGAGCGGGTCCGCGGGCGGTCGGGCTCTGAGCCGGGCGGATCCGGAGGGCAGCAGCCGAGGGAGATCGGAGGGGGCCGGGCTTCTGAGGGAGGCTTGGACCAGAAGGGTTATCCTCCTAGGCAAAGAGGACTTTTGTGAAAGATGGGTGCACTCGGGGGTGCTCCGTGGAGGGTGGGCCTCCAAGGAGCACGTGTCCCGCCCCTTTCAGCTCCACTTCCTTCGGCAGGTGTGCCCCAGAGAGCCTGCGCCACGGAGCCTTCTCGTCTGCCTCGGACGTGTGGATGTTTGGGGTGACGCTGTGGGAGATGTTCTCCGGGGGCGAGGAACCCTGGGCCGGGGTCCCACCGTACCTCATCCTGCAGCGGCTGGAGGACAGAGCCCGGCTGCCTAGGCCTCCCCTCTGCTCCAGGGCCCTCTACTCCCTCGCCTTGCGCTGCTGGGCCCCCCACCCTGCCGACCGGCCTAGCTTTTCCCACCTGGAGGGGCTGCTGCAAGAGGTGGGAACCCCCGACCTCACCAGATACACAGTCCCTCTTCCCTCCATTCGCTCTCCCAGGGTTCCATGCGAAGACTAACACATCTAGATGTCTGTGCTGGGCTCTGGGACTCAGCTCTGAGCAAAACAGATGCAGTCCCTACCTGCAGGGAGATCAGAGCCCTGGGGAGGCAGCTTGGGGCTACACAGATGCAGACTGAAAGGCTGGGGTCTGTGTCTGGGCCAGGAAAGGGGCATAGAGGAGACAGCACTCAGTTGCAGTCGTGTTGACACGCAGAGGAAGAGAAGGGCTCAGCGTGGGAGGGGAAAATAGAAATAATGAAGCCGCAGGCCGGGCGCGGTGGCTCACGTCTCTAATCCCAGCACTTTGGGAGGCGGAGGTGGGCAGATCACCTGAGGTCGGGAGTTCAAGACCAGCCTGACCAACATGGAGAAACCCCGTCTCTACTAAAAAATACAAAATTAGCTGGGTCTGGTGGTGCATGCCTGTAATCCCAGCTACTCGGGAGGCTGAGGCAGGAGAATCGCTTGAACCTGGGAGGCAGAGGTTGCGGTGAGCCGAGATCACACCATCGCACTCCAGCCTGGGCAAAAAGAGCGAACTCCGTCTCAAAAAAAAAAAAAAGAAGAAGAAGAAGAAGTAATGAGGCCACAGAGAGAGCAGGAGCTGTGTCATGGAGGGCTTTGCAAGGCGTGTTAAGCTAACACGTAGAGCACTTGACCTGTGCAGGACACTGCACTGTGCACTTTACATGGGCGCTTATGCAGATTCGCTCATTTAATGCTCTCAACCACTGGATGAGGTAATTATTATTAGTAGTATTTTATTTTGAGACAGTCTTGCTCTGTCACCCTAGCTGGAGTGCAGTGGTGGGATCTTGGCTCACTGCAACCTCCGCCTCCTGGGTTCAAGCAATTCTCCTGTTTCAGCCTCCCGAGTAGCTGGGATTACAGGCGCCTGCCACCACGCCTGGCTAATTTTTGTATTTTTAGTAGAGATGGGGTTTCACCATGTTGGCCAGGCTGGTTTCGAACTCCTGACCTCAAATGATCCACCTGCCTTGGCCTCCCAAAGTGTTGGGATTACAGGCATGAGCCACCGTGCCCGGCCTGGATGAGGTAATTATTATCTCCATGTTACTGATGGGCAGTTGAGGCACTGAGAGTTTAAGTGACTTGCCTAAAGTCACATGGTAAGTGGAGGAGTTGGGATTTGAGCCAGTCAGTTTGACTTCAGAGCTGTTCCCTAAGCTGCTACACTCTACCACTAAAGCTTAGTCTTTACTCTGAAGGCATTTGGGAGCCAGGGAAGCCTATTAGGCAGGGGAGTTACAAGCCACTCTCACCATGACGGCACTCTGATGTGGCGCAAGAATGGATTAGAGGGATGATGCTGAGGCTGGGAGACCAGGTAGGCAACAGTGGCTGTGAAGCAGAAGGGAGATGAAGAGGTCTGGATGAGGGTAGAGGCGGTGGGGCTGCAGAGGAGTGGAAATTTCCCAGAGGGGCTTGGGAGGCTGCTCTGACAGGCCTGGATGTGGAGTGAAAGCAGTGTACAGGATGACGCTCCTGTTAGTCCCCCCAGGTAGAGCCAGGGCCCTCCTCTCTTGCTCCTTGAGCCCTGACCTGTTTGTCATGGGATCCAGGTCTGCCTCCCTCACTGAATTACAATGGGGGGACAGGGAGAGTCCCACCCTGGGCCCAGCACAGACTACATACAGAGCGGAGCTCCTCTTTATTCCTGCTCCCATATTACCTATCTGACTCAGGCCACAAGCCCAGCCACCCTTTCCTCTTGTCTCCACAGGCCGGGCCTTCGGAAGCATGTTGTGTGAGGGATGTCACAGAACCAGGCGCCCTGAGGATGGAGACTGGTGACCCCATCACAGTCATCGAGGGCAGGTGACAGTCCCATACCTCCCAAGCACCCTCAGGAGGAGGATACCCTCCCAGCCTAATTCCTGATCCCTTCTCTGCTTCTCTCCAGCTCCTTGAACCCTGATCTTCTGTCTCATCTCCTCTCCCCACTGGGTCCTGAAAGCTCCAGCATGGTCCTGGCCTCCCTGCTGGAGCCACTGCTGGCCCATAGAGCCTTATTGCATTAGGGAAAAGGCTTCCCTTCCTCCAGGCAGATGCGGCTCCAAGGCACATAGCCTAGTGAGCTGACTGTGGGCCAGGGCCCAGCCCTAACTCTTGCCCTTATTCCCATCCTATTTACCAGCTCCTCTTTCCACAGCCCCGACTCCACAATCTGGAAGGGCCAGAATGGTCGCACCTTCAAAGTGGGCAGCTTCCCAGCCTCGGCAGTGACGCTGGCAGATGCGGGGGGCTTGCCAGCCACCCGTCCAGTCCACAGAGGCACCCCTGCCCGGGGAGATCAACACCCAGGAAGCATAGATGGGTGAGGACCTGAAAGGGTGAGGGCAGGGGTTGGCTGGGAGAACTGATGAGGTCCAGGAGCTTCTCTGGAAGAGAAGCCTGGGGACAGGACCAGAGTGAAGCTGCAGCCTCCACCCTGGGCCCTGGGTCTCCTGGGTTCCCCTGTGAGTTTTTTTGGGAGGGTATATTGATCTGTGGGGTGGGGAGAGTTGGTGTGGAGGATGAACTGGATCCCTCTCCGACAGAGACAGAAAGAAGGCAAATCTTTGGGATGCGCCCCCAGCACGGGGCCAGAGGAGGAACATGCCCCTGGAGAGGATGAAAGGTGGGTGTGGTGGACTCCAGAGTCTCTGAGGAGATCAAGACCAGTCCTTCAATTCCGACCCCCTGCCCTAAATCCATGCCTTTGCATCTATTATTTCCTTCCTCTGAATTCTGTCTGCTGGCATCCTAGCTATACTGTGCAATCTATTTTTTTTTTTTTTTTTTGAGACAGAGTTTCACTCTTTTTGCCCAGGCTGGAGTGCAGTAGCGTGATCTTGGCTCACCGCAACCTCCACCTCCCGGGTTCAAGCGATTCTCCTGCCTCAGCCTCCCGAGTAGCTGGGACTACAGGCATGTGCCACCACACCCGGCTAATTTTGTATTTTTAGTAGAGATGAGGTTTCACCCTGTTGCCCAGGCTGGCCTTGAACTCCCCACCTCGGGTGATCTGCCTGCCTCGGCCTCTCAAAGTGCTGGGATTACAGGCGTGAGACACTGCGTCCGGCCCTATACTGTGGAATCTTAAAAGATAGGAAGCCCTCCTGCCTTCCCTTCTGAAGAGCACCTCCACACTCTGGGCCCTGAGCTCTGAGTTCTCTGGGCCCTCCGCCTAGGCCTTGGTGTCCACTTGCCCATCTGTCTTATTGTCCCACCTGACACATGAACCACCCAGGGACAGGGCTGGCTAGCTCATCTGCAAATGCTTGCAAAACCATCCAGCTCAGCACAGATGAAGACAGAGAGTGGGGCCAGGCATGGTGGCTCAAGCCTGTAATCCCAGCACTTTGGGAGCCCAGCGTGGGTGGATGGCTTGAGTCCAGGAGTTTGAGACCAGCCTGGGCAATGTGCCGAAACCCCTTCTCTACAAAAATACAAAAATTAGCCAGTCGTAATGGCAGGCACCTATAGTCCCAGCTACTCGGGAGGCTGAGGTGGGAGGATCGCTTGAGCCCGGGAGGCGGAGGCTGCAGCCAGCCGAGTTCAAGTTGTTTCCTTCTCAACTGTGCAGGCATTTCCAGGAGTCTGGAGTCAGTTCTGTCCCTCGGTCCTCGTCCCACAGGGGGTGGTTCAAGCCCCCCTGAAATTCGACAAGCCAGAGCTGTGCCCCAGGGACCTCCAGGCCTGCCTCCACGCCCACCTTTATCCTCTAGCTCTCCTCAGCCCAGCCAGCCCTCTAGGGAGAGGCTTCCCTGGCCCAAAAGAAAACCCCCACACAATCACCCCATGGGAATGCCTGGAGCCCGTAAAGCCGCTGCCCTCTCTGGAGGCCTCTTGTCCGATCCTGAGTTGCAGAGGAAGATTATGGAGGTGAGGTCTCACTGAAATGGCCTGGTGTCCAGAAGGGGCTACAGGCAGGGGCAGGGGCCTGAGTGAGGCTTTGTCTGTCACAGGTGGAGCTGAGTGTGCATGGGGTCACCCACCAGGAGTGCCAGACAGCACTAGGAGCCACTGGGGGAGATGTGGTTTCTGCCATCCGGAACCTCAAGGTAAAGCCAGCCCCTTCTCTTGGGGTCCCTCCTCTCCTGCCCCTGCCGCCTGGCAGTCAGCTGCAACCCACCCTCCTGCTTCCACAGGTAGATCAGCTCTTCCACCTGAGTAGCCGGTCCAGAGCTGACTGCTGGCGCATCCTGGAGCATTACCAGTGGGACCTCTCAGCTGCCAGCCGCTATGTCCTGGCCAGGCCCTGAGCTCAGCTTCTGCGGGCACAGACACCAGCATGAAAAGCCTAGGCCCCTGAGGGCCTGGCCACATGGGACCAAGCGGAACCAGAACAAGGTCCCGACAGGGGTAGACGTTCCACCTGGGGAGATCCCACCTGCCGTAGGCACATGGAGGAGGAGCCCAGAGTTGGGCACTGGCAAATGTCTCCTCCCTCCCATGCTCCTTGGCTTCTGAAGGCTGAAGCTCCTTTGGCTGGGCCAAGAAGGATCTAGTCTGCCCACTACATTCTCAAACAAGAGGACTTGGAAGAAAAGAGCTGCTATACATCATATGCAGAGGAAGCTTCTACGCGCTAGAGAGGATCAAGGGGCCACACTGGACCATGTGAACAGCCATCCTGAACTGCCATCAGCTACCACACTGGACTCTGCAGGGCAGCCATCCTGGATGATGGAAGCCACCATATTGACTTGGGGTATAGGCCCAAACTGCCTTCGTTTGGTCCAGGGCCATCGTGGGTGATGACGATTGCTCTCTTGCACTCAAGGACATTTGATGCTGGTAGTATGGATTATGAGATGGACTAGCCCCTGCCCCAGCCCAGCTCTCACATTCCCCTTTGTTTTTTCCCATACCAACTGCTTCTACCCTCCCCTATTACATACATCTTTCAATGTCCAAAAAGTTACAAAGTTTATATGAATGTAACATATAAAGATGCAGCCTTTTTCCTAGGGCAAGGGAAGGAAGGGCAGTTACATAAGGCACAGGAATCGCAGCAAGCACCAGCTGAAGGCAGGGCCCTAGTGGGAGAGGAAGTTGGCACTGGGGTCCCCCTGCAGCTGTTGATGGGGAGGTAGAGACCCCCTCAAAGTGCCATGGTCTGAGGCTGAACTAATTGGCCAAGCAGATGCTAGGCAGCGGCGGGGGGGCGGTGGCTATATCCACCGTCTTTGGTGCAGCTTGCCCTTCCACACCCCAGCCCTCTTGTAAAACCCCAGAGTCCTGGGTTCCAGAGGCCTCCTTTGGAGCAGAGGCCCTGGAAGGGGGTGGGAGAGAGTGCATGGGGAAAGTGTGAAAGCTGATATGCCTGTGTGCCGAGGGACTGCTGGGACAGTGGTGGGAGGTAGCAGGAGAGCGGCTCTCATACATACCCCTCCTTGGGAACCACAGGGGCAGGCGGCCAGGGAGTAGGGTAGGGATGGGGCCCCCCTTCTGTCCCCTGCAGTGTACATGGAGGAAAGGGGCTGCCCAGAGGAGGGGCCAGGGCAGGTGACCATCTGGAGTTCTGGTCGAGGTGATGGTCTCCTCACACCATGGTGGCCTCTAACTGGTGACGGCAGAGGGCCCAGCGCCTCCTCGCTTCTCAAAGAACATGTAGTCCTAAGAGGAGGCCACTGTCAATGGGAGATCCGGCTGGGCCAGCCCAGCTTGGCTGTCACAGGCCAGCTCTAGAACCTCAACCCCCACAACACCTATTCCTGACTTTCCCCTAGCAAGAGGCCAGGAAATGCATAAAGCTTCAAATGACAGCAAAGGACAGGCAGGAGGTGGGGGCAGGGGCAGCCAACTCACAATGAGGAATGTGGCTCCCAGCAGCACAGCCTTCACCCTCACATCCAGGTCCAGCGGGAACTGTAGGCCAAAGTCATCTGCATCTGTGAGGGCTTCTCGGACCAGGCCCCCCCACTGCTTGCTGATGCGGCCCACACTGCGGGATTCATCCCGAGTCTTCACCTGTCATCAGGGAGGGAGAAAGGACCCAGCTGAGGAGGAGGCAGCCAGTCTCACCTGCTCCAGTCTCATTCCCACAGTCGCACGTATGAATTTGCAGGGTCTCCACTCAGTGAATCTTCCCCTCTAATGGTCACCGAGTGATCGCTTTCCTAACTGGTTCCCATCACAGAGTATGACAGCTGGGGAAACTGAGGCACTCTAGATCACGCTGAGTCTATACCCAAAATTAGGATTCAGACTCAGATCTGCTGCTATCGAAAGGCGACGCATGACATAACTGAACATCAGTGGTGGGAGAAATGGAAGCATGACAATCCAACCCCCTTAGGGTATGGCTGTTTGCTAGGTTTGCTCTGGTTCCCAATGCCCCTGCCACCCACAATTGGCACAGCTTGTGCCCTACACAAAGTAACCTGGCCAAAAGGGCAAGGAAAGCTACTGGAATTCTGGCTGTACTTCACCAGTCAAGAAGGCTCCTAGAAGGCTATGTCTACCCCGAAGAGTACCTTTTCTCTAATCTGCAAAGTAGGGGAGGGCCTTGCCCAGCACTGCATGAGAGCCTCATCTAGAGAGGGATACATGCCTATCTACTGTGGAGAGAGGCAGCAGTAAGTAGCCTTTGAGGACCACAATTTCCACTGGCTTCTCTGAGCCACACAGCAACAGGCTCTGCTGATGTGGGTAGTTACTCCCCGTGACTTCCTGGTCCTTTTCCTGTGCTCGTTCTCCAGTGATTAGAACTGCAGTGATTTCCTTTTGTGCCATTCCCATCCCCTTCCTGCACTGTCCTACAGCTCTGGGGCACTTCCTGCCATGGTCCTAAGGGTACAGCCCCAAGTATGGACCATTTATAATTATGCAAAAGGGACACTGGCCCTATGAGAACCCCACAGCCTATACATTCCCATCTGGAGATCACGCAGTTATTATATCTTATTCCCAATTGGTTCTCATCATGGAATCTCCCTCTGGCTACCAAGGTGACTCATTTTTGCAAAGTAACCTTAGGTAGGGTACCTCATTAGAAGCGTTGGAAAGTCTACTGGATTATACCTGTTGTTTCTCCCTTATCTGCACAAGCAATTATCCCTTAAAGAACTCAAGGGTCGGTCAGGTGCGGTGGCTCACGCCTGTAATCCCAGCACTTTGGGAGGCTGAGGTGGGCGGATCACCTGAGGTCAGGAGTTCGAGACCAGCCTGACCAACATGGAGAAACCTCGTCTCTACTAAAAATATAAAATTAGCCAGGCATGGCGGCGCATGCCTGTAATCCTAGCTACTCGGGAGGTTTAGGCAGGAGAATTGCTTGAACCCGGGAGGCAAAGACTGCAGTGAGCTGAGATCATGCCATAGCACTCCCACCTGGGCAACAAGAGCAAGACTCTGTCTCAAAACAAACAAACAAAAAACAAACAAAAAAAGAACTCAAGGGTCTGTGGAGTGCCTTTGTCTTCTAGAAACCAAGGTGCTTCCCAGGCCTCACCTCACTCTGAAATTCTTGCCACTTGGGATCTCTAGCTTCCAGACTGGTGACAGGAATGCACAGTGAGAAGGATATACTGGATTTCGGAATGGCAGGGGCATTTGGATTCTATTTTAGCAGGGCAGGCCACAGGATGTTAACATGTTAAAATCGTGCTTGCTCCAGGGCCTGGGCTCACACACTCATACACAGCAGCCACATGGGCCCGGCCCACACAGACTTAATCGTCCTTCACCCCAAATCCAGGCTGGCCTTAGATTTTTTTTCTGCCCATCTCAGGGCCACTTGTAATAATCAGCATTGCTCCTTAAGATGAAATCCTCGTTGTTATGCTTTTATAAGAGCACAGGGCCATCCTATTTCCAAATGGAGGAATGCTACAAATGCGGTCGGAGTCACAGTGGATTTGGATTGATGAGCTCAGGGTCTTGACCTTAATGTTAACTATCCTGCCTCATGGAAGCATCATCTTGGTTTACGAAGGTCCCAAGAGCCTCTAGTATTCCTGATACCTCAAAGTTGGTGTCTGTGCCACAGCCACAGGTCCAGCAGGGCCCCACCACTCGCAAGACTGTCTGGCGATCGGCATCCTGGATGGAGAACTTGGGGAGGAAGGGATGCCAGGTCTGTAGCACGTGGCCAATGGTGGTGCCTGGTGGAGCCTGTACTTCCATCTGGGAGTGGGAAGCAGACAGGGTCACTGCGGAGGCAGGGGTCCCAGCTCTATCATCTGTCTATTTGGCCCTCACTAAACCTCCCATCCCCACCTGCCCACTCCCACCTGATCCAGGCCTCATCTCAGGTGGACCTCATCATTGTCCCGCCCCACCAAGGCCCGCCCTCCCGGCCCCCTCCCTCCGCCCACCTCCTGGAGGCCACAGGGGCAGCAGCTGCAGCCACAGTGCAGCGGGCGGAGCAAACGCAGCACCTCACGGTCCCCGGGGTCGGCCAGGCGGACACGCAGCGGCCGGCGGGCGCCACAGCACAGACGGGCGCAGCAGTTGCTCTCCTCGGCCGCCTGACCCAGGGGCTGCCCGGCCCCAGAGCGCAGTTCATACCGATTACAGGTCTCCCAGCCTAGGAACGCTGCCCGAGGTGACACGGGGAGACTCGTAGAGCCTCGCGCGCCCAGGAGCCCACCATCCGGGCCACCATCATGAGGTCCAACCTCCCACTCCTTCTACTTACTTTCCACTCGCTCAGCCTTCTGGTGAATCAAAATCTGATCAATCTGGAAAGAGAGGGGCGGCGCGCACATCAGCTGGCCCATCTGGACGCCCAAGTCCCCTCCCAGTCATCCTCCCTCCCTCCTTCCCACTCACCTGCACCAGGAATTCGAGGCCAGAAGGCACCCCTGGCAGTGGCAAGAAGGGGGCAGCAGACCCCAAGGCCACGGGGCCAGGCGAGGGGAAGAGGGCGAAGCCGGGAGCTGGGGCAGGTACCTGGGCGGGCACTGGCGCCTGCCCGGGCCCAGGATGTAGCGCCGGCTCCGGGTACCCAGGGGTGACAGGGTAGGGAGGTGGGGGCGAAGGGGCGTAGCCTTTGGGGGGCAAGTAGCCTGTAAAGCGGTGGGAGCAGGATAGATTAGAAAGGGACTCAAGGCCTCATCCCCTTATTCCTCAGCCCATGGGCCGCGAGGCTTCGGGGGAAACGTGGTGGCAAGAGGCAGAGAAAGATGGGGCAGGGGAGCAGGGTGGAGGTTCCCCGGAAGGAAGGGAGGGGCCCCACCCAGCCAGTCCGAGCACATTCCGGGAGGATGTGTTCAAACCCGGCTCCCAAGTCCGTGGGGGGGATAACGGAGACCCCCAGACTTGCGCGCACTTACCTGCCATGGGAGAAGGGCTGGGGTTTTCGAGATGATGGTGTCTGGGTGGCTTAGTTCTGGAAGCGGAGGCAAACTCGGAGATAGCCAGACAGACACAGAGACAGACACAAAGACGGAGAGGCAGCTGCGCCCGGCGCCGGCCCAGGGTCTCTTGGGCGGCGCCTCTGACTCGGGGAGAAACCCAAGTGTCAGTGGGCGGGACCGGGTACCTGGGACCCTGGATTCCCTCGGGGGCCCCAGAACCGCCCCCTCCCTTTGTTCTCCCATCCTGCGGAGGAGGCTGTGGGCCGACGGCAGGACAGATGGACCCGCGGTCAGACCGACAGCCCCACCCCAAGGGCGGTCTCCCTGACCCCTCTGTGCCCCCGCTCACCTGGAGCCCCCAGAAGAGCCCGGGTGCCTAGCACTCGGCAGCTCACAGGAGCTGGCGGAGGCGGAGGCGGGCCCGAGCTCGGACCCCGGCCCCGCCCCCCGACCCGCCGAGCCCGCCCCCTCCTGGGCGGTGCGTTTGCGCCGGGAGGAAGGCAGCCGTCCGCTGCCCCGGGAAGCCGATCGTGGGCTTTGCTCCTCGGCGTCGCCGACGTTCCCGCCCCTTCCGCTCGGACTGCAGATGCCCAGAGAGTAGGAGCGCCTGGAGAAGGCGGCGGCTGGTCCCGGGCCCCGCGAACGCCGCCAGGCCGGCGGCGTGCGTGCTCAGCGCCCTGGGTGGGAGGCGAGGGCGGCCCGGGCCGCGCTGGCCCCTGGGCTCCTCCTCCCAAGGGCAGTCGGGCCTCGCTGACGCAGCGGAACACCCTTCACACTCACTCATTGGCTTCCAGGACTGGCTCCTGGCTCGCCTTCTGCCTCCCAGGGGCGACCTCGCCGTCTTCTCTCCCTGGCACAGCGGTGACCCACACGGGCACCTCGCAGCGACAGCAGTTTCTGCAGGTGCCCCAGCCACGCGGGTGACAGGCCGCCAAACGGTGTCAGTGAGCGTGCTCAGGCCGCCTAGAGGGCCAGAGGAGGAAGCGCGGTCAGAAAAGACCCCCGAGATGAGTGTCTTCGACTGGATCCTGAGCCAGGACCAGTCCTGCCTTGGGGGCCACTGGCTGAGTGGCGCAAGAGATGAGTTTAGAAACGGAGTGCAGTCCACATACAGGGCGGGTTGTGTGGAAGCTGCGATTTGGCCCCACGAGCAGCGAGGAGTCCACCGAGACATTTTTAGAACAAAGAAGGTCAAATGTGTGTTTTAGAAAGATCGTGGCGGGGCGCGGTGGCTCACGCCTGTAATTCCAGCACTTTGGGAGGCCGAGGTGGGCGGATCACCTGAGGTCAGGAGTTTGAGACCAGCCTGGCCAACATGGCAAAAACCCATCTCTACTAAAAATACAAAAATTAGCCGGGTGTGGTGGCGGGCGCCTGTAGTCCCAGCTATGCAGGAGGCTGAGGTAGGAGAAACTCTTGAACCCGGGAGGCAGAGGTTGCAGTGAGCCGAGATTACGCCATTGCACTCCAGCCTGGGCAACAGAGCGAGACTCCATCTCAAAATAAATAAATAAATAAATAAATATTTATTTAGACATCACCAATAAGGCGAAGGCATCACCAATAAGGCGATAGTTAGGCCGGGCACGGTGGCTCACGCCTGTAATCCCAGCACTTTGGGAGGCCGAGGCAGGCGAATCATGAGGTCAGGAGATGGAGACCATCCTGGCCAATATGGTGAAACCCCGTCTCTACTAAAATACAAAAAAATTAGCCAGGTGTGGTGGCGGGCGCTTGTAGTCCCAGCTACTCGGGAGGCTGAGGCAGGGGAATCGCTTGAACCTGGGAGGCAGAGGTTGTAGTGAGCTGAGATCTTGCCACTGCACTCCAGCCTGGCGACAAAGCAAGACTCCGTCTCAAAAAAAAAAAAGAAAGAAAAGAAAGAAAGAAAGAAAGAAGATGATAGTTGACCCAGAACCTAAAGGAGATGAGGGACTGAGCTGTGCAGATTACTGGGTAAGTGTTTCAGGCAGAGGGAACAGCAAGGGCATAGGTCCTGAGGCAGAAGACCAGTGAGACTGGAATGGAGTTAATGAGGGGAAGGTCAGAGGGGTCACAAGAAGCCAGGTCACGCATGGCCTTTTAGTCCACTGAATTATACCCTGAGATGGGAAATGTTGGAGGGTCTGGACAGAGAAGAGACGTGAGACGTACTGCAGTGGTTCTCCATGTGGAGGTTCCCCCTGTGCCCTAGATGCCACCTGAGGTGAAGGATGGAAATGCAGTGAGAGCACTGGACTGGGAGGAAGGAGCCTACAGACCCAGCCTTGGCTCTGCCACTGGACCTTTGGGTCACTCTGGTTTTTCTGTTTTTTTGAGAGTCTCACTCTGCCACCCAGGCTGGAGTGCAGTGGCGCTATCTTGGCTCACTGCAACCTCCACCTCCCAGGCTCAAGCAATTCTTCTGCCTCAGCCTCCCAAGCAGCCAGGACTACAGCCACCACACCCGGCTAATTTTTGTATTTTTAGTAGAGACAGGGTTTCTGCATGTTGGCCAGGCCGGTCTGGAACTCTTGGCCTCAAGTGATCCTTACACCTTGGCCTCCCAAAGTGTTGGGATTACAGGCATGAGCTACTGCACCCAGCCCCTTTGGGCCACTCTGGAGGTCCCCTCTAAGGGTTTGTTTGTTTGTTTGTTTGTTTGTTTATTGAGACAGGGTCTTGCTCTGTTGCCCAGGCTGGAATACAGTGGCATGATCTCCACTCATTACAACTTCTGTTTCCCAGGATCAAGGCATCCTCCCACCTCAGCCTCCCGAGTACCTGGGACTACAGGCATGGGCCACCATGTCCAGCTAATTTTTGTATTTTTTGTAGAGATGGGGTTTTGCCATGTTGCCCAGGCTGGTCTTCAACTCCTGGGCTCCAACAGTACACCTGCCTCAGCCTCCGAAAGTGCTGAGATTACAGGTGTGGGCCATCACACCCAGCATATTTATTTATTTATTTATGAGACTGAGGTCTTGCTCCGTCACCCAGGAGGGAGTGCAGTGGCACCATCAGAGATCACTGCAGCCTCAAACTCCTAGGTTCGGCCGGGCACAGTGGCTCACATCTCTAATTCCAGTACTTCACATCTCTAATCCCACTCTGCCCAGGCAGGCAGAGCACTGAAGATCAGGAGTTTGAGACCAGCCCGGCCAACACAGTGAAACCCCGTCTCCACTAAAAATACAAAAAAATTGCCCAGGCGTGGTTGGCACATGCCTGTAATCCCAGCTACTCAGGAGGCTGAGGCATGAGAATCGCTTGAACCCGGGAGGCAGAGGCTGCAGCAAGCTGAGATTGCACCACTGCATTCCAGCCTGGGCAACAGAGCGAGACTACATCTCAAACAAAAACAAAACAAAATTCTTAGGCTCAAGCTATCCTCATGCCTGGGGATCCTCAAGCTGGGACTACAGGCACATACTACCACATTATTATTATTTTATTATTATTATTATTATTTTTGAGATGGAGTTTTGCTCTCGTTGCCCAGGCTGGAGTGCAATGGCCTCCCAGGTTTAAGCGATTCTCCTGCCTCAGCCTCCTGAGTAGCTGGGATTACAGGTGCCTGCCACCACACCTAGATAATTTTTGTATTTTTAGTAGAGACAGCGTTTCACCACTTTGGCCAGGCTGTTCTTGAACTCCTGACCTCAGGTCATCCACCTGCCTCGGCCTCCCAAAGTGCTGGGATATTTTTATTTTTTTAGAGACAGCATCTCACTATGTTGCCCAGGCTGCTCTTGAACGCCTGAGCTCTAGCTATTCTCCCACTGTAGCCTCCCAAGTAACTGGGTAGGGGGCTGAAGCAGGAGGATTGCTTGAGCCTAGCAGTTCGAGACTAGCCTAGGCAGCCGACATGGTGAGACCCCATCTCATCTCTTTCTTGAACCTCCTGGGTTCAAGCAATTCTCCTGCCTCAGCCTCCCGAGTAGCTGGGACTACAGGTGCGCACCACCATACCCTGATAATTTTTGTATTTTTAGTAGAGATTGGGTTTCACCATGCCGGACAGGCTGGTCTCGAACTCCTGAACTTGTGATCTGCCCGCCTCGGCCTCCCAAAGTGTTGGGATTACAGGCATGAGCCACCGCACCCGGCAAGACCCCATCTCTACAAAAAAGTAATAATTAGCTAGTCGTGGTAGCTTACACCTGTAGTCCCAGCTACTCGGGAGGCCGAGGTGAGAGAATTGCTTGACCCTGGGAGATGGAGACTGCAGCGAGTCCTTATGGCACCACTGCATTACAGCTGGGTGACAAAGCGAGACCCTGTCTCAAACAAAACGAAAAAGCACAGAGAGGCGGTGGAACAGCTGGAGGGTGGAGGGTGTGCCCCTTCAGATGTGGAAGGCCTCACCAAGGTGATCCTATTGAAGCTAAACTAAGCTTGCACAAAGTGTAGAAGTGTATTCTAGGCACAAAGAATAACTGCAAAACAGGCTGAAAAGAGCAGCTCAAAATCTTGAGGCAGAAGAAAATGTGGTGGGTTGGCAATGTGGATGCCATGTAGTGACAAAGAATCACAAAGCCCGGATGGCCAGTGCAGGCCTTGGAGACAGTGGTATGGCACTTGGAATCTATTTGCAGTGCAGTAGTAAGTAAGTCATTGAAAAGTTTAAGTCACTCTTTTTTTTTTTTTTGAGATGGGGTCTTGCTGTGTTGCCCAGGCTGGAGTATAGTGGCTATTCACAGGCTTGATCTTAGCACACTAGTCTCAAACTCCTAACCTCAAGCAATCCTTCTGCCTCAGCCTCCTGAGTAGGTGAGACTATAGGCACACACCACCGCACCCAGCTATCATCATTTTTAATTTCTATTTTTGTGTATGCTTTATATAGTACAATCTGTATAATATATTGAAGGCATACTTAATTTTTCTGAAGGTATGCATTTTTTTCTTTTTTGAGACAGGTCTTGCTCTGTTGCCCAGGCTGGAGAGCAGTGACACGATCTTGGCTCACTGCAACCTCCGCCTCCTGGGTTCAAGCGATCCTCGTGCCTCAGACACCCAAGTAGTTGGGATTACAAGCACCATGCACCACCACGCCAGCTAATTTGTGTATTTTTAGTAGAGACGGCATTTCACCATGTTGGCCAGGCTCGTCTCGAACTCCTGGACTCATGTTATCCACCTGCCTCAGCCTCCCAGGATTACAGGTGCTGGGACTACAGGCGTGAGCTGCTGCGACTGGCCTGAAGGTATGCTTTTTTTTTTTTTTTTTTTTTTTTTTTTTGAGACAGAGTCTTACTCTGTCGCCTGGGCTGGAGTGGTGCAATGACATGATCTTGGCTCACTGCAACCTCCGCCTCCTGGGTTCAAGCGATTCTCCTGCCTCAGCCTCCCGAGTAGCTGGGATTACAGGCACCCACCACTACGCCCAGCTAATTTTTTAAATTTTTAGTAGAGACAGGGTTTCACCATGTTGCCCAGCCTGGTCTCAAACTCCTGACCTCTTGATTTGCATGCCTCAGCCTCCCAAAGTGCTGGGATTACAGGTGTGAGCCACTGTGCCCTGCCGGTATGCATTTTTAAAAGTGTGCAGATTTTTTCTCTAATGAGAAGATTTTAGGTAATTTCATCTCATTCCGTATCTCTAGTTACAATCTGCATGCTTTTAATTGCAGAATTTCTATCACCAACACTAGTCTCTACTGAGCTCCCGACTCCTGTAACAGCAGCTTTCCAGGCTTCCCTGAAGCAAGAGAGTGTGTTAGAGACCTGAAGGAATTCCTAGGGGCTGGCCTGAGGATTGTGAGAAGGATGACAGGGCCAAATGGTGGAGGGCCTTGTGCGGAGATGTTGTACTGTCTTCTGAGGGCAAAGGGGAGCCAATGAAGCATGTATATCCAGGGAGATGGCATAATTTGAGGTACACTCGTAGATCACAATATTTCTTCATTTTAAAGATGAGTCAGAGGCCAGGCACAGTGGCTCATGTCTGTAATCCCAGCACTTTGGGAGGCCGAGGCGGGCGGATCACCTGAGGTCGCGAGTTTGAGATTAGCCTGACCAGCATGAAGAAACCCTGTCTCTACTAAAAATACAAAATTTGCCGGGCATGGTGGCGCATGCCTGTAATTCCAGCTACTTGGGAGGCTGATTCAGGAAAATTGCTCGAACCCAGGAGGCGGACATTGTAGTGAGCCGAGATCGCACCATTGCACTCCAGCCTGGGCAACCAGCGAAACTCTGACTCAAAAAAAAAAAAAAAAAAAAAAAAGATGAGTCAGGAACCAGACATGTGTTCCTCCAAACTCAGCCTCCCGAGTAGCTGGGCCTGCAGGCTACAGGCACAAGCCACTACACCTGGCTATTTTTTTTTTTTTTTTTTTTTGAGACGGAGTCTGGCTCTGTCGCCCAGGCTGGAGTGCAGTGGCGCCATCGCGGCTCACTGCAAGCTCCGCCTCCCGGGTTCACGCCATTCTCCTGCCTCAGCCTCCCGAGTAGCTGGGACCACAGGTTCCCACCACCATGCCCGGCTAATTTTTTTGTATTTTTAGTAGAGACAGGGGTTTCACTGTGTTAGCCAGGATGGTCTCGATCTCCTGACCTCGTGATCCACCCGCCTCAGCCTCCCAAAGTGCTGGGATTACAGGCATGAGCCACCGCACCTGGCCATGGCTATTTATTTTTATTTTTATTTTTATTTATTCATTTATTTATTTTTTGAGACGGAGTCTCGCTCTGTCGCCCAGGCTGGAGTGCAGTGGCACTATCTCGGCTCACTGCAAGCTCCGCCTCCTGGGTTCATGCCATTCTCCTGCCTCAGCCTCATGCCATTCTCCTGCCTCAGCCTCCCGAGTAGCTGGGACTACAGGCGCCCGGCACCACGCCCAGCTAATTTTTTTTTGTATTTTCAGGAGAGACGGGGTTTCACCGTGTTAGCCAGGATAGTGTCGATCTCCTGACCTTGTGATCCGCCCACCTCGGCCTCCCAAAGTGCTAGGATTACAGGCGTGAGCCACCACGCCTCGCTATTTTTTTATTTTTGTAAAGACAGGGGTCTCCCTGTGTTATCCAGGCTGGTCTCGAACTCCTGGGCTCGAGCAATGTTCCCACGTCCGCCTTCCAAAATGTTGGGATCACAGGCTTGAGCCATCGCACAGGGTCCTCTCTGTTCCTTTCCTTTCAGCATGCAGCACAATTTGTAATGATACATGTTTTGCAAATTTTATAAATGTTTAGTTATTTCAGGTCCATTTCCACTACTAGATGGGAAACTCCTTGAGGGAGGGGATATCTGTCTCCCTCAGGGTTGATCTTCCTTGTAACGTGTCTGACGCATGATCAACACTGGTTTAATAAATACTGTGCCTGCCAGGAGCAGTGGCTCACACCTGTAATGCCAGCACTTTGGAAGGCTGAGGCAGGTGGATCACTTGAGGTCGGGAGTTTGAGACCAGCCTGGCCAACATGGCAAAACCCCGTCTCTACTAAAAATACAAAAATTAGCCGGGCGCGGTTGCGGGCGCCTGTAATCCCAGCTACTCGGGAGGCTGAGGCAGGAGAATCACTTGAACCCGGGAGGCGGAGGTTGCAGTGAGCTGAGATCGTGCCACTGCACTCCTGCCTGGGTAACAGGGCAAGACTGCGTCACAATAAATAAATACTGTCCCCACTAAATATCTTCCAGTTCTCTACATGCTGTGACTGCCACTCCAGCCTGTCCTGCCACCTTTTCTCACTCCTTTCCTACCTAACTCAAACTCAGCCCACATTGAAGACTCCTGCTTCTCCAAACCCCTCCCCTCTCCATCTTGTTCTTTGTTCATTGTTTCTTCCATACAATAGAGCTCCTTTAAGGATCATCTCAAGCATTGTGACACATTTTCTGATCCCCAATACATGATCTGTCCCTGCTTTGAACCCCAAAGTATTTTGTAACTAATGACACTCCTATCCTGCCTTGCCTTAATCCTCACTTCTAGAGTAAGTGGGTGCTGATAACAACAGGGCTGAAAACCATGACCCTATAGTAATTTTTTAAAATCCCAGTACTTTGGGAGGCTGAGGCGGGTGAATTGCTTGAGGTCAGGAGTTCAAGACCAGCTTCGCCAATATGGTGAAACCCCATCTCTACTAAAAATACAAAAATTAGCCAGGCATGGTGGCATGCACCTATAATCTCAGCTACTTGGGAGGCTGAGGCAGGAGAATCACTTGAACTCAGGAGGTGGAGGTTGCAGTGAACCAAAATCGCACCACTGCACTCCAGCCTGGGCAACAGAGTGAAACTCTGTCTCAAAAAAATAAAAATAAAAATAAAAACAGGCCGGGCGTGGTGGCTCATACCTGTAATCACAGCACTTTGGGAGGCCAAGGCAGGCGGATCACCTGAGGTCGGGAGTTCAAAACCAGCCTTGCCAACATGGCACAACCCCGTGTCTACTAAAAATACAAAAAATTAGTTGGGCATGGTGGCAGGCGCCTGTAATCCCAGCTATTCAGGAGGCCGAGGCAGGAGAATCGCTTGAACCTGGGAGGCAGAGGTTGCAGTGAGCCGAGGTCGCGCCACTGTATTCCAGCCTGGGCGACAGAGCAAGACTCCATCTCAAAATAATAATAATAATAATAATAAAATTAAAAACCTAGTATGCATCAGAACCACAAGATGAGCTTATTAAAATACAGATTCTCAGGCCCGAAAGAGTGCTTCAGTAGGAATCTGTGTTATTTCAAGCATTCTTTATGACTTTGATGCCCACCAGGGTAAGAACATTATAATAAGTTAACTTAAAGTGACCAGAATCCCCAGACCTAAGGCTCACTGATTAAGTCTTAGGAAATGGAGGGAGTTCAGAGGTTGAATCCCCACCCTTCGTCCTCCAAGAGGTTAGATGAACAAAGACTCCAAAGTTTATTTGCCTTTCCTTTTTAATCCTCTTCTTACTCCAACTCTTTAAAAAAAAAACTGCCCAGAAAACCCAGTAATTAAGCAAAAGGGAGCTCAAAGAGCCAAGGCAAGCCAGCCCAAGAGTAGCAGGGTCCCTCCCGCAGGGGCCAAAGTCTGGATGCTGGGGTCTCCACTCAGAGCCTGGTAGTAAAAGCTGGTGCAGAATAAGGTCGTTCCGGAAGCTAGCAATAACCCAGCCTGAAGGAGACACAGCACAGAAAACAGGATTGTTAAGAACAGGGCAGGCTGAGAGGGAGTGTGTGGGGCTTGGTCAGGGTTAGGCGCAGGGAAAGATTACCCAGAGTGGCTTTCTGCAATGGGGCACCCCTAACAGGGCCAGGCTGTGTAAGAAGTGGTGTTTGTTGGCCTTGTCAAACAGCTGTAAGAAAAACAGAAACGAAGGGATGTCGTAGGCAATACAGGTACTGAGATCCCCTGATGACACAAGGGACCAAAGTTCCTTCCCCCACCCCACCCTTGAAGTCCCAGCTTGATCCCAGGCCTTTGGCTTACAGAGCCTTTGGCCTTTGCTGCTCCAGAGATCCGCGGCTCGCCCCACCCTCTCCCCGCCCACTTCCCCCAGGGACCCCAGACTTTGTGCCTTCGTAGACCCACGAGTCAGGGAGCCCCAGCGCAGTTACTTCACCTCCTTCCCGTAGGCATCTGGGAATTGGGCGCCTGTGGAGAAAAGAAGCAAAGGTTAGCGGTCCTAGTGCCAGCCCTGACCGCCCCCAATCCGGGGGGACCCAGGTGGACATTGGCGAGAAAGGGCACCCCCCCCCCCGCCCCAGGAAGCTTCCGATTGGTGGGAACACGCTCGGGCAGTACTGGGAACCAATTGGACCCAGCTGGGGGACTTTAAAAGGTTTAGGGCTCCGCGGACTGTCTGATAAACGAGAGGCCGGGCACCTCCCATAGGTTACGCCCTTGCAGCAGACCCCAGAGGACGCCCCAAGTACAGTCCCATCTTCGTCCCCAGCCCCCTGACCGTGCGCCCCGTAGGAAGCGAAGCCTAAGGCCGCAGCTCCGGACAAGGCGCCCAAGCGGCGGAAAGCTGCAGCTGGCCCGGCCATAGCTGTAGAACAGGACGCACCGGACCAACGCCGCCCAGGCCACCCAAGAGGCCAGCCAATCCCGACCGCCCATGCAAATAAGGTTCACAGGCGCCCAATCCGGGCCGTGTTCATTTCAGCATTGCGCTCTTCACCCGCCTTTGTAAAACCGCTGCAGAGTGGCGAAGACGTCTGGCGGGCGGAGAAACCAGCACCAATTAGGAACAGAGGAGCTAAGCAGTGGGGGGGCGGGGTTGAGGGCGGGACTAGGGGGATTTGCGTCAAGGATTGGCCCACTTTCCAAGTTGATCGCCTCTTCGAACCCCCCACCCCCATGCTCCGGCCAATTTCCAAAGATCCCGGTCTTCTCTCAAAGTTCCGCCCCTTTTTCCACAGGCTCCTCCTGTTCAGCTTCAAATCAAACCCACTACCAAAAAGAGGCGGCCCGAAAGATAGCAAAGCCCCACCTATTGCCAGTAAACCCCGCCCACTGCACAAATGGCCCCTCCCCCATGTCTGAAGGCTCCGCCTTCTTTGTATGATGCCCCGCCCCCTGTAGTTAAGATATTCTCCCCCCCGCCAGCCCTCCGAGACCGCGAGAGCCCCGAGGGTGGGAGATCCGGGGGAATGTCTCCACCCTGCCCTGGCCCGCTACGTCCATCTGTCCGTCTGTCCGCTCCCGCCTCTTCCCACCATCTCCAATCCCCCCATTCTCCGGAGGGCGGGCGGGCAGGCGGGTGCGAGCGGGGGGTGCGAGCGGGGGGTGTGCGCCGCTCTCTCGGCAGGGGGCGGGGGAGGCGGCCGCGCGGTGACGCGCGGGGCTGCTGCGGCTGCTCCGCCGGCGGATCATCACTCTCGGGCTGGGATGGACGCGGGGCGGGCCGGCCCTGGCGCGCGGAGCCAGGAGTCCGGGCCTCCCGGCTGCTGAGCGTCCCTCGAAGCCTCCCCTCACCCCCGCCTTCCCTCCTAGGATCCGCGCTGACCCCCGCCCCGGGGCTCTGGACTCGGCTCCCGCCCTCCTCTGACTCCCCGGACCTCCCCCTCACGCCCGCCCTCGGGATCGACTAGATCCCTCCCCCTCCCCGAGGATTCCGGCTGGATCCCTGCCCCTGCACCGCGGATCCTGCGCTCCCGGGCCCCGGGCCCCTGGGGATTAACGTGGACTCCTCCTCCAGCACCCGATCCTTAGGATCCTCCGCCTGGACCGCCTTCTGGTCCCTCGAAGCCGGCCCACGGAACCAGCGGATCCTCAATCTAGTCCTGTCCCGTTGCCCCCTCCTTTCTCTATCGTCCCTACTGCGGGGTTCCCTGTTCTCGGGCTCCCCCTGATCCCATCCCCTAGCTCTCCTTTTCCCGGGGATCGACTGGATCCCGGCCCCGCCCCCCGGGGCTGGGGCGATCCCCCTCCCCCGCCGGGTGAGGCGCTGCGGGCGGGGGCTGGGCCTGCGGGGCCGCGGGGGCTCAGAGGCCGCCGCCCCCTCCCGAAGGCCTTTCGCCCCCCACTCGGAGCCCTGGATGGAGGCACCACGGCCCCAGGGCTGAGCCAGGTAGGACCTAAGCCGGGTCGGTGGAGGGGGCTGCGTGGCGGTCCACTGGGGTCTCCCTCTCCCCATCTCCCTCCCTGCGCCTGGTTTCCCCCAGCCTGCTCTGTCTGCGTGTCTCCGCCTAGGGATGCTCTCGCCGTGTCTCTGCGTCTTGGTCTCTTTGTCTCTGCCTCTCTCCAGTCCATGAATGATCCTTTGAATGGGCCCACAGACCCCGTGTGTTCCCATCTCCCCCTCCCCCTCCTTCTCCCCTTCCCAGCCAAGCCATTTTCACCACTGCAGGAAGGGGGGGCCTGCGGCCTGAGCCCCCGTCCCTCAACTCTCCCCGGCTGGGGGAGTCAGGCCTGGGCAGGAATGGAGAGAGAAGGCAGAGGGATAGGGAGAAGGAGGAGGGAGCAAGATGTGGCAGACAGAGATGAGGAGAGAAAATGGGGGAGACAGTGATGGGGAAAGACAGGAGAGAGAGACAGAAGGCTTAAGGGGGAAATTTGGGGAAGGCATTTGGAGAGAGAGAAAGAAATGAGAAACACCAAGGAGAGAGATACAGAAGAGAAAGATGTAAAAAGACCGAGGGTGAGAGACTGAAGGCAAGAGCTGGGGCAAGCTGGAAGAGGCCCACAAAAGATGCTCCCAGGGAGCACTACGGAGAGGAGAGAGATGGGGGGGCCTCCAGTGGGAGGGAAGGAGGGAGCGGAGCTGGTGGGAGGAGGCCAGGGGCCCAGAGTACCCTCAAGAGGAGAGGGTGACTGAGGCAGATCTTGTTGTGGGGAGGGGGAGGGGGCAGCAAGGCCATGGTAGCTGAGCCCAGTCTGGCACAGGAAAAGGAGATCCTGGGGGAATCAGCCCCGAGCCACCTCCAGGTGATGGAGGAATAGAGGAGCCTTAGAGAAGCTGAAAGGCAGGGGGCATGACTGGGTGTGTGTGGTAAGGATTCCTGTGTCCTCATCTCTGGAATAAATTGACACCTGCAGAGAGCCACCCGCGGGCTGGCGCCTGGCTCTGAAAACCCCGCGTCAGCAAACAGCTCTGGCGGCTGGTGGGGGGGCGGGGGGGGGGCTTGCCGAAATGACCTGGGTGTCTGCCCCTCCGGTCTGATCTTCTCCCTTGGCTGGCCCCTGCTGCCCTGAGCACCCAGGCATCAGAGCAGCAACTGTAGGGGGGGTGGCAAGGGGAAGGGTAGGTGAATGGATGGGTTGGGATGGGAAGAGAAGAAAGCTCAGTGTTGCCCCCAGGACATGGGTCACAATGGCTTGCAAAGATGAAAAGGTGGTGGGGTCCAAGGTTGCTTGAAATTGCTGGAGGGGGGCAGTCAGTAGGCTCCTGTGATGTCTCTTCAAGCCCACCTCAGCACCCCCTCTCCCAAGCCAGAGGCCTGGTCACTAAGGCTAGGCTTTGATTGGCCAACAGGCAGGGCTTTTAGCGTTCTTGGTGCCCCCAATCTCCCCCTCCTCTCAACATATATACTTCTTCCTCTATGTTAAGGTTGGGGGGAACTCTTGCATTCTGACTCACGCCTTTGCCCTCCCCTTCATGCCCTGAATGGACCACCAAACCAAGCCAGCCCCTTCCCGTCTTCCTCCAGAACCCCCCTCCAGGGTTAAAGCTGCAGCCCGTTGCCGAGGTAACATTGCGGGGCAGCATCCCGTCACCCGGCAACCGGCTGCAGGATCACGCATCTGTCCCTGGATTTGCCCCTCCAGCGTCCCCTCCCTACTCTAACCCCAGCCTCAAGGTACCCCAACTTCTGACGGAGGAAATGGAGAGAGTCTGGGGAGAGAGGGGTCGCAGGCAGCACAAATCCTTAGCGAATGGTGTGTTGAAGTGGGGATAAGGTGCTAGGTTTGTGCAGTCCCAAGAAAGGCCTGAGTCTGGCCTGGGGTGGGGGTTCAGCGCCATGAAATTACAGCTCAGGAGTAATTAACACATATAAACAAACCTGCCTCTTCCAGCTAATTAATGACTTGGTATTTTTGTTTTCTCTTCCTTGTCTACCTCATTCCCTCCCAGGGAGGTGGGAGCTGGGACTCCTGAGTCCCTGAGGAGAACCTGCCTGGGAGGGATACATCAGCTGGAAGGGAGCATGCTGGGTCTGGAGAGCTGACCCGCCTCTCCTCTGGCTGGGTCCTGGACTTGAACCACATCTGGGCCCCACCCCCAACCTAGGCGTCTGCTGAGGGGAGAAGGGCTGCTGGGTGGGAGTGGGGAGGTGTCAGGGGGCCTGTGGGTGGGAGAAGGGGGCAACTTGGTCTGAATTCCAGGTCACTAACCACTTGTCTCTTCTGTTTCCCCATTCCTTTCTGTCTGCCCCATCCAATTTCCCTTGCCCTCTTCCACCTCTGTATTTTTCTGTCTGTCCGTCTGTCTGTATCCTGCCTCCCTGCCCCTCTCGCTCCACCCCCCGCAGGTCGGGCCTGCCTTCACCTTCTCCCATTTCCTTCCCCTTCCCCACCCCGTGCCCCCTCCATGGAGAGGAACAGACCCCTTCTCTGTCCAGTCTAACCCAGGTCCCTCCCCAACCCCCTCCTCCCTCCTTTCCCCCCGCCCCTCCTCCCTCCTGGGGCGAGGGGGGCCTCCCTCCCTCTCCCCCCCTTCTCTCTCTCTCCGAGGGGGGGGGGTCCCAGGGAGGGAGGGGGGGTCCCCCGATCAGCATGTGGCTCCTGGCGCTGTGTCTGGTGGGGCTGGCGGGGGCTCAACGCGGGGGAGGGGGTCCCGGCGGCGGCGCCCCGGGCGGCCCCGGCCTGGGCCTCGGCAGCCTCGGCGAGGAGCGCTTCCCGGTGGTGAACACGGCCTACGGGCGAGTGCGCGGTGTGCGGCGCGAGCTCAACAACGAGATCCTGGGCCCCGTCGTGCAGTTCTTGGGCGTGCCCTACGCCACGCCGCCCCTGGGCGCCCGCCGCTTCCAGCCGCCTGAGGCGCCCGCCTCGTGGCCCGGCGTGCGCAACGCCACCACCCTGCCGCCCGCCTGCCCGCAGAACCTGCACGGGGCGCTGCCCGCCATCATGCTGCCTGTGTGGTTCACCGACAACTTGGAGGCGGCCGCCACCTACGTGCAGAACCAGAGCGAGGACTGCCTGTACCTCAACCTCTACGTGCCCACCGAGGACGGTAAGGGCGCGGGCACAAAGCCGGGCACCCCGTGGACACAGCCCACAAACGCACATGCAGACCCTCAGGCACTGGCACCGCTCTAGGGCTCAGAGCTGGGCCTTTGTGGGGGCAGTGAGGGACGGAGTGTCCCTGCAACCTCTACGTGCCCCCTGAGGATTGTAAGGGTGCCTCCAGGCAGTCCCAGGCACACACTCTGCAGACAGCCTCTCCATAAGTTCTTTACGCCCATGGGGGGCCATGGTAGGGATGGCAGGCACTGGACTAGGCTCACCCACTGTCTCCCCAAAGAGGCACAGTCTGCCAGCTAATCTCAACCTGGCCACGGAGGGGGAATCAGGTGATCCATCCTCTGCTCAGACACCCACTCCAACCTTGCCCCGCCTCCCGCCGCCAGACCTGGGCTTGTTCCTGGCAGAATACCCAGGTTAGCTACATCTGCACCCCAAGGACAACGCAGGCTCTCCCTCTCCCCCTGGCTGGTGAGGGCTGCCTTCCATCTATCACATCATGTCCAGAGCCCCTTGCCTGAGCTGAGCACCTTGGCAGTGGTACCGATGTCCTTCTCTTCTCCCTTGACCCCTGTACGCCCCTGAAGGATCAGGGAAGCTCCTTGCTGAGGGCCAGCACAGCCCACCCGTCTTCCCTGGGGCTCTTGAATTTCTGTTCTTAATGAACTCTTGTTCACTACAGGACTGCTCATAGCCCCTGGCACATTCCTTCTGGACAGTTCTCCACCCTCCATCCTCAGCACTCCAAGACTAATCAGAACACCTTCCAGAGTGTGAACAGGGTGCAATAGGTGGATTCCAGCCATCTCAGCAGACCAGCCTCACAAACACCCCCCTGCACCCCGCATGGCTCTTCTGACACCCATCTTACCACTCCAAAACATGGCAGCGTCTGCGTATAGACCATCCGCTGCCACCACGCTTCCCACAGTCCATGTTTCCAGCAACCTTACACATAGGCCTGGTACCCAGGAGCTCCTAATGTACCCTGTACATACCCAGCACCTCCACGGCATGTGCTCAAGTCCCAAAACAGATGGCAAATCCCAACTACTCCACAATTAAATCATCACCCAACCAACCTGTACACTGACCTTGTGCTCCAGCACCCCACAATCACAATTCCCAGTACTTTCATATCACACACACCCCCAGTACATCTCTGAAACTATGTACCATGTCACCCACACACACCTGTGCTCCCCAGCATCCCTGGATATAGATCACGTGCCTTAAGAACATCCACACATCCAGTAACCTGCGCGCCTGGGCCGTGTGCTCAGCAGGCCCCTCACATCACAGTCCCCAACATCCCCAACACTCCTCAATCATTGTTTACCCCACTCCTACCTAGAGATCATCTGCACCGGACCTCAGGTGGTGAAAACACATCCGGCAAGCTTGCACCCTACTCACCAAACAAGTACTCCAACACCATGCCCCCTGCACTCAGAATCCCCCCCTGCCAAACACGGAACATCTCATGCACCTCCACCCACCCATGTCCATCCCAATACCTCGCAAATGGACCATTCACCCTGTATCCCCCATCCCAGCCATACCCCTCTCCATATAAACCACGCCTCCCCACAACCCATACACACAATGCACAGAGCGTCATCTACTCTAATCCTATTCAAATTTGAAGCACCCTAGTTCCCCATAAGCCATTTATCCCAGTACATGCCCCACGTGCCCCCCAGTACAATGCCCTCCACAGAAGAGCTGTGCACACCACACTCCTCTGCCATCCCAGCGCCTGCCCCATCATGAGTCCTTCACCTCAGCACCTCCATGTGGGCTGCCCATCCCAGCACTCCCTACTCTCACACAGGCTCTGCACACCCCAGGGCCCCCTCATGGGTGCTGTCTCGTCACCTTCCATGTGAAACATCCACCCAGCACTTGTCACCAATGGACTGTCCACCCCAACACCTCCACACAGTTGTCCACCCCTGCCCCCACACCACCCTTGCCCACACCTTCTGTATTTTTAGCCACTGCTGATTGCAGACCTGCCTGGGGCCTGACACATTCAGGTGATCTCACTGAATCTTCACACCAGCTCTGGGAGGAAGAGGTTGACTCAGGCGCGCGCGCGCACACACACACGCGCTTCATAGACTCACGTGCACACGTGCCTTGCTCACTTTGTCCCCACCCCATCCTCTCACAAAGAAGAGGCCCTGTTCCCAGCGGGTCCCCATGGGGCCATCACTGCCACTTAGGAGACGCCTTCCAGAGCTTGCCTTGGCCTTGACCCATCCTTGGCCTTGACCCACGTGCCAGTCCCTGTGCCATTGAGGAAAAACCAATCAGCCTCGGGGAACCCCCAGGCCTCTGGGCTCCAGCTCGCCCCTGACCAACCCCGTAATCTGGAAGAAGCCCTGACACTGGGCGAACCTGGTGCTCCCGGTACCTGCTGGCACCTGTGTGCCAGGCTGGCTCAGGGCACTGTGTTCCTCGTTCCCTATCTGTGGACTGAACCACCCGCTCGGCCGTTGGGGAAGGGGTGCTTTTTGGCAGTGGAGCAGGGGCAGGGGAGGCAGCGGCTGGTGGCCCTGGTGGGAAATTCACCATTTTGGGGGGAGGAGAGGAAGCCTGGGTAAGGGACGAGGTTGGGGGGAGTGCGGAGGGTTGAGCTGGAGCGGAGGGCAAGACCTGATGACCCCCTTCCCTGCTTTGCCCACACTGGGGAGCTGGGGTGAGAAGCCAGGCCTGTGAGTGTGGATAGACGAGAAGTGCTGGTGGTGAGGCTGGGTAGCGGGCGGGCAGCCCCAGCTGACCTTCCCATAGCCCTCCAGTGGGGAGCGGAAGGCTTCTGGGGCTGAGCTGTGGGGCAGGCTGCCCCCCAACCCTGTCCTGCTCGCTGCCCTGCAGAGTGGTCCAGAGGGAAGCAGAGTCTTTTCTGCGGCAGTCTCTCCTCCCTACAGCCTTGTGGGGGGCGGCAGGCAGGTGCTTCGCTGGCCCTGAAGGGGGCCTTCTGAGAGGTGGCCTGGGTGGCAAGCTGGCCTTGGTCTCCCAGGGGCTCTGGGTGGGCTTCCCCTCCCCTCCCACCCCACCTCTAACACTGTTTCATTTCCAGCAATTAGCAAACACATCGACAAGCCAAAACCTTTCCAGCCAAGTCGATATGTCTTAAGACAGGCCTCAGCCCACTCAGGCACCCCACCCCCCCAAAACCAGCCTTTTCTTTGGGGCATGACTTTTTCTGGGGAGGGGAACAAAATTGGGTTGTAGAAACGTTTTTCTCTTTTCTTGGTTTCTTTTTCTTGCAAACAAATTTTGCTTTTTTTTGGCTTCTTTTTTCTGCCTCCCCCACCCTCCCCTTTTCTGCTTTCTCTCCTCCCCTCCCCATCCACCACCTCCCCCCGACCCCCATCTTTCCCCACAAAATTGTCCTTTTTTCTCTGTTTTGTGTTCCCGGTCTTAGGTCCGCTCACAAAAAAACGTGACGAGGCGACGCTCAATCCGCCAGACACAGGTAGATTTAAAAATCCCGCTGCTGCATGTGGTTGCTTATAAGAGGACATTCATGGCCCTGCCCCTCACTAAATGTCCCCACAGCCCTCAAGGCCCCTCAGTCGTTCTCCCAACTAAAATGAAAAAGAAAAGAAAAGAAAAATGTTTAATAATTGGAAAAAAGAATTATGAAAACTTCAAACGAAATTTGAACAATGTTGGACCCAGTAGAAAACCTGCCAGAAAAGCTAAACATGGTGAAAATAAGCTGAAAAACAAAAAGAAATTGGAATGTCAGAAAAATAAAATTCAAAAGAATTGGTTAAAATGTTTAGAATTTGAAAGAAATCTGGACAGTTTTGAAACTTGTGAAATGTAACATTTGAAAAAACCAATTTGAAATTGGAACAAAACAACAGTTCAAAAAAAATTTAAAAGTTGGCAAATTGATGACACCATTGAAACATCAGAAGCCTGTCGCAATTTCCAAAAGCCTGTCAGACACAGAAAACGCAAACATTCGAAGTGAATTAAAGAATTTGACAATTTTTTAAAACAGGGCCCAATATCTTGAAGTTTCACCACAAAATTTTGAAAAAAAAATGCAAAGAATTTTTTTCTTTTTTTCTTTTTTCCCAAAATGGATCTTTTTGTTTTTTCTTTTCTTGTTGAATCTGCCCCGAGAGCTTCTTGCTTTTTGGTTGTTTTTTTCTTTCTTTCTTTCTTTCTTCTTTCTTGATCCTGTTTTTGTTGTTGGTTTTGAATTCTTGTCGCCCCAGCCCCTCTTCCTGCTCCTTCCCTTTCTGACCCCTCCTCCCCTCACACTGGGAGAGGGGTGGGGTGAGGATGGGAGAACTGAGGACAATTAGGACAGGACCTTGGAGGGAAGGAGATTCCGGCCTGAAAGTGCTGGGAGGTCACTTGAGGTTCAGGAGCAAAGGAGAGGACAGGATTTGAGGAGAACCCAGCGAGGGTGCTGCCCACATAGAAGCTCTGGCGGAAGCAGTCAGGAGCATGGGGGCTGCACAGGGGGTCTTAGGGATGGGAGGCAGGAAGCTGTCTGTGAGGTCAAGGAGAATGTCTTAGTGACCTGCAGGTTGACCTTCTGGCAGGAGGGATGTTTCTACCAGGATGAGGGAGGTGGGCAGAGATGCTGGGGACCAGCTGTGGAGGCCCAGGCCTGGCTTTGGTTTGCTGAGTATCCAGGCTAGCAGGGAGGGCCAGTGTCAAGAAAGAGGAGGGCCTGTGGGCCAGGGGTGACCCCAGCCCTAGCACTATGGCTGAATCATGGGGAGCTGCAGGGGAGGATACTGTAGCCTCGGGGACCCTGGCAAGCACTCTCAGACTCCCACATCCTCTGGAATTAGTCACCCTTCAGTCCAATCTGGAGCAACTCAAGGGCCTGATCACATGTGGCAGTGATCAGGGGATCCTCAGGGGGTATGGCGGGAAGGAGCCCAGTGCAGAACCCAGGGCTCAGGCCAGTTTGGGGGTGTCCAAAACTAAGCTGCACCCTGGCTTCATTAAGCAGGCTCTTCCTCCTCCTGCCACAGTAATTAGGCTGGGGGTTGCCATGGTGACTGGGGAGGTGACCTAGAAAGGAATTAGGGCGGGGAGGAGACCAAGCCCCAGGGACCCTAGGCCTGGCACCCCTCACCCACAGACCAGGGACCCTAGGCCTGGCACCCCTCACCCACCGACCAGGGTGCCATGTGGAGTGGAGGCCCAAGGCCTGAGTCGGAGGAGACACCAGGACCCTCCCAGCAGCTCCAGCTCCAGTTCTAGCCTCGGGAGCTTGCTCTTCCCAGGGACAGGAAGGAGATGTGCTGTGTGCGGGGGTGCTGGGGGTTCCCTGGATCCAGCAGATGCCCTAAGGAGGGCCACTGCCCACCCCCAGCCTCTACGGGGTTTCTTGGAAAGTCTGCATTGGAGAAGTGCCGCGGGGAAGGCTGGCAGAGGGTGGGGAGGGAATGTCTGCCAGGGCTAGCTGGGGAGGGAGGAGGGGAATCCGGTCTTGCCCCCCAGGGATGGGAGTGACATGTCCCCTGAGCTCCAGGCCAGTCCTCAGCAGGCCTGGGAGCTGGGCGCTGCTGCTTCCGGTCTGACTGTGTCCTTGTCCCTGACCCCCTGGCCCACCTGCCCACCCCTCCCCACACAGATATCCGTGACCCTGGGAAGAAGCCTGTGATGCTGTTTCTCCATGGCGGCTCCTACATGGAGGGGACCGGAAACATGTTCGATGGCTCAGTCCTGGCTGCCTATGGCAACGTCATTGTAGCCACGCTCAACTACCGTCTTGGGGTGCTCGGTGAGGGTGGGCAGCCAACTCTGGGGCTCGGGGGAGTCTGGGAGGTGGGCCTGGTGGGCAGGGTTCCTCCACATCCAGCAGAATGGCTTCTGGGCTGGACTGAGCTGCCCAGAAAGGGGGCAGGGGCGCTGTGACACCTCCAGGGAGCCCTCTTCTTCTCTACTCCCAGGTTTTCTCAGCACCGGGGACCAGGCTGCAAAAGGCAACTATGGGCTCCTGGACCAGATCCAGGCCCTGCGCTGGCTCAGTGAAAACATCGCCCACTTTGGGGGCGACCCCGAGCGTATCACCATCTTTGGTTCCGGGGCAGGGGCCTCCTGCGTCAACCTTCTGATCCTCTCCCACCATTCAGAAGGTACCAGCAGTGTCCCAGCCTGTTCCACCCTTCCCAACCCTGCCAACTCCCCCCTCTCCTTCAGGCCGGTACTCACAGCCTGGCCTGAGGTCTGCCTGTCCCGCCAGGGCTGTTCCAGAAGGCCATCGCCCAGAGTGGCACCGCCATTTCCAGCTGGTCTGTCAACTACCAGCCGCTCAAGTACACGCGGCTGCTGGCAGCCAAGGTGGGCTGTGACCGAGAGGACAGCGCTGAAGCTGTGGAGTGTCTGCGCCGGAAGCCCTCCCGGGAGCTGGTGGACCAGGACGTGCAGCCTGCCCGGTATGGGGTGGGAGAGGGCTGGGTCCAGGCCTTCAAGGTTCCAAGGAGGCTGAGGTGAGAGGTGCCTGTGGGCATACCATTTGGCAAGGAGGGATGGGCTTCTGGCCCCCAGTAAGTGGCCTCCTCTTGCAAGCCTTCCTTCAGTGGAGGTGCTCAATCAGAGCAGGTGAGCACAGGGTGCCATGAAGTGCTTTGGGATGACTTCCAGAGAGGCCAGATCTCCCAAAGGACCCACTGGAGGATTTCAAGTAGGGAAGAAGGGTCTTGCAGGTAGAGGGAAGCATCTGCGTGTGGGCTTAGCAGGCCACAGGCCAAGAGGAGGCCAGTGAGCAGGTGGTGAGACCCTGACCCCTTCTCCCCAGCTACCACATCGCCTTTGGGCCCGTGGTGGATGGCGACGTGGTCCCCGATGACCCTGAGATCCTCATGCAGCAGGGAGAATTCCTCAACTACGACATGCTCATCGGCGTCAACCAGGGAGAGGGCCTCAAGTTCGTGGAGGACTCTGCAGAGAGCGAGGACGGTGTGTCTGCCAGCGCCTTTGACTTCACTGTCTCCAACTTTGTGGACAACCTGTATGGCTACCCGGAAGGCAAGGATGTGCTTCGGGAGACCATCAAGTTTATGTACACAGACTGGGCCGACCGGGACAATGGCGAAATGCGCCGCAAAACCCTGCTGGCGCTCTTTACTGACCACCAATGGGTGGCACCAGCTGTGGCCACTGCCAAGCTGCACGCCGACTACCAGTCTCCCGTCTACTTTTACACCTTCTACCACCACTGCCAGGCGGAGGGCCGGCCTGAGTGGGCAGATGCGGCGCACGGGGATGAACTGCCCTATGTCTTTGGCGTGCCCATGGTGGGTGCCACCGACCTCTTCCCCTGTAACTTCTCCAAGAATGACGTCATGCTCAGTGCCGTGGTCATGACCTACTGGACCAACTTCGCCAAGACTGGGTGAGGGCCAGAGGGGCTGGGCGGGGCTGGGCGGGGCCCTCCCTCCTTCACATGGCCGCCGTTCCTCTGTTAAGGCACTCACTCTGGCCTGCCCTCTTGCTCGAGTGAAACCAACCCAGACACCTCTGTGCCAGGCACGGAGTTGAGCGTTGGAGACTCAGCAGTATCAGACAGAGAAGCCGCTGTCCTTTCTGGGGAGTTGGGGGCCCACTCAGTGGCTTTGGCTTGGCGTCTGTCTCTCCCTCCTCCTTGCCTGATCCCCCCTGCCCGACCCCCCTAGGGCTCTGCATCTCTGGCTGACTGCTCAGGTGTGTGTGTCTGAGTGTGTGTAAGAGTTTGTGTGTCTCTACTTCTGTCTCTGTCTCTCTGAAAATCCACTGACAGCTCTCCACCTCCCTCTGCTGCTCTCTTTTGTCTGCTTACTTTTCGCTTTCTCTGGCTGCCGGCTGATTTCAGCCTGGCTGTGTATCTGTCTCTGGCTGTCCCTCCCGTGTCTTTGACCCTGTCTGTGTTTCATTCAGGCTCAGCTTCTGCTTCTCCCTGGCTATCTCTGTGTGTGTCCCTGCCCCTCTGCCCGCATTTCTGGCTGTCTCTGCCAGTCTGTCTCCATCCCTATTTGCCTATTTGCCTGAAGAGACAGGCAGTTTCTCTGTCTCTTCATATCCATCTGTGTCTCTCTGCCTCTGTGACTTTTTCTCTGGCTTTCTTGCTGTCCCCCTGTCTCTCTGCATCTCTGTCTGTCTCCCTGCCCACTGCCATCCACCCTCCTTCAGAGCCTTGCCCTCACTCCTCCTTTCCCTGCCCTCCTGTGCCCACAGGGACCCCAACCAGCCGGTGCCGCAGGATACCAAGTTCATCCACACCAAGCCCAATCGCTTCGAGGAGGTGGTGTGGAGCAAATTCAACAGCAAGGAGAAGCAGTATCTGCACATAGGCCTGAAGCCACGCGTGCGTGACAACTACCGCGCCAACAAGGTGGCCTTCTGGCTGGAGCTCGTGCCCCACCTGCACAACCTGCACACGGAGCTCTTCACCACCACCACGCGCCTGCCTCCCTACGCCACGCGCTGGCCGCCTCGTCCCCCCGCTGGCGCCCCGGGCACACGCCGGCCCCCGCCGCCTGCCACCCTGCCTCCCGAGCCCGAGCCCGAGCCCGGCCCAAGGGCCTATGACCGCTTCCCCGGGGACTCACGGGACTACTCCACGGAGCTGAGCGTCACCGTGGCCGTGGGTGCCTCCCTCCTCTTCCTCAACATCCTGGCCTTTGCTGCCCTCTACTACAAGCGGGACCGGCGGCAGGAGCTGCGGTGCAGGCGGCTTAGCCCACCTGGCGGCTCAGGCTCTGGCGTGCCTGGTGGGGGCCCCCTGCTCCCCGCCGCGGGCCGTGAGCTGCCACCAGAGGAGGAGCTGGTGTCACTGCAGCTGAAGCGGGGTGGTGGCGTCGGGGCGGACCCTGCCGAGGCTCTGCGCCCTGCCTGCCCGCCCGACTACACCCTGGCCCTGCGCCGGGCACCGGACGATGTGCCTCTCTTGGCCCCCGGGGCCCTGACCCTGCTGCCCAGTGGCCTGGGGCCACCGCCACCCCCACCGCCCCCCTCCCTTCATCCCTTCGGGCCCTTCCCCCCGCCCCCTCCCACCGCCACCAGCCACAACAACACGCTACCCCACCCCCACTCCACCACTCGGGTATAGGGGGTGGGTGGGGAGGCCCTCCTCCCCGGCCCTCCCTGGCCCGGCCACTCCGAAGGCAGGGAGGAGGACTTGGCAACTGGCTTTTCTCCTGTGGAGTCGTCACACGCCATCCAGCAGCGCTAAGGTGGACATGGGATTCCTCCCTGCGATGCGTGTCTTTCCCACGCAGAGAAGCCCAGTCTCTTCTCTGGATCTGGGCCTTTGAACAACTGGGGGGCGTTTTCTCCCCCCCATTGGGACACCAGTCTTCGGTGTGTGGAATGTGGTATTTTCCCGCGTGGAGGTGTGCTTTCTCACAACGGGGTGTGTTTTCCCATGTGCAGGGTGAGGTTTTTTTTTGCCACCCTGGACACATGTTGGCCCCCTCAAAGAATTTCTGTGGGGATTTGTACCCCAGAATCCTGTTCCCCCATCCCTTCTCCCACCTCCTCCCCTCTCCCTCCCCCTGGAGACCCTGGAAGTGGTGTGTTCACATACAGTGACCCTTGGCCACCAGACCACAGAGGATGGAGCCTGGGAAGCAGCGAGGAAATCACAGCCCCCTCGCCCCTGCCTCCCTTGCCCCTACCCCGGCGAAGCATGTTCCCCCCGACGCCCCCCTTGGCACAAGTCAGATGAAGCACGTTCTGCCGGGGAGGCCCTCACCTTCCAGAGAGGACAGACACAGATTTCCTGCTGGGGGAGGGAGGAGTCCACGCATCCTGATGCTGCCTGGAAGCTTATTTTCCCGTGGCCAGGACGCATTTCTCTGAGTGGAAACAGGTTCTTGCATGTGGATGTGTGTTTCCCCAGGCAGACGGCCCCTCTCTTCCCAGCACTTCCCTGCCTCCCCCAGGCCTCAGGCCCAGCACCCAGTTCCTCCTCACATGGCAGGTGAGCACAGACTTCTAGTTGGCAGGAGCTGAGGAGGGTGAACAAACCCCGAGGGAGGCCCGGCCCTTGCTCCCGAGTTGGGGGGAGGGGGTGTGGCAACGTGCCCCCCGCAGAGGCCACGCATGTTTGACCAAAGCCCTCATTGTGGTCCGAGGACAGCCTTTTCCCCAGGCCTCAGAGCATTGCTCATCCGTGCCAAACTGGGTAGGTGGATTTGAGCGGAAAGACTCCCAAAATGTGCCAAGAATTTCCCAGTCCCAGGCAGGGCAGGGGAAACTAAGGGCAAGCAGGATACAGGGCGAGGGATGTGGCAGGTGAGGGGGCTCCCGCCTGTGCCCCTTCTCCTCACCATGTCTCCCCCACCCTGCCTCAGTTCTCCGTTCCCCTTCATCTCCGTCCCCCTCTTTGAAGCTGTCCCCATCTCAGTGTCAGACCAGCCTTCTCCTCAGCTGACCACCCTCCTCTGACCCACGCCCCCTCCTTGTCTGAAAGAAAGGAGCCTTGAATGGTGGAGGGAGGCAGTGGGGAGAAAGGTCTCACCGGACAGGTTGGGAGAATGAGGTCAGCGGTGCTGGGGAACAGATGGAGGGGGCAGTGGGGACAGGGCTTGGGCAGACACCAGCAGGAATAATTTGAAATGTGTGAGGTGACTCCCCGGAGGGCCTTGGGCTTGGGCATTTGGGAAAAGAATGATGTCTGGAAGGGCTTAAGGGACACAGTGGACGAGGGGAGAGTCCTCATCTGCTGGCATTTTGTGGGGTGTTAGTGCCAAACTTGAATAGGGGCTGGGGTGCTGTCTTCCACTGACACCCAAATCCAGAATCCCTGGTCTTGAGTCCCCAGAACTTTGCCTCTTGACTGTCCCTTCTCTTCCTACCTCCATCCATGGAAAATTAGTTATTTTCTGATCCTTTCCCCTGCCTGGTCTAGCTCCTCTCCAAACAGCCATGCCCTCCAAATGCTAGAGACCTGGGCCCTGAACCCTGTAGACAGATGCCCTCAGAATTGGGGCATGGGAGGGGGGCTGGGGGACCCCATGATTCAGCCACGGACTCCAATGCCCAGCTCCTCTCCCCAAAACAATCCCGACAATCCCTTATCCCTACCCCAACCCTTTGCGGCTCTGTACACATTTTTAAACCTGGCAAAAGATGAAGAGAATATTGTAAATATAAAAGTTTAACTGTTGGTTGTGCCTGCTCTGTTGTGGGGAGGGCGGTCTCTAAAGAAACAAGCCCTGGGGAAGTGACGAGGGAGGAGGGGTCTTTTCAGTGACCAGCTCTGAGGTCTGAGAGGAAGGGGGAGTGTGTGCTGGGGTCTGGTTGCCATGGTAATGGGTCTGTTTGGCAAATGAATGTCAGGACCCGTGTCTATGCCGAGACTGGAGCCTGGTGTCGTTCTATAATGGAAGGACAAAGGCTGATGGGGGCAGATGTCAAACAGGCCAGAGGCCCAGTGGGCTGGTGTAGGCAGCTAGCTCAGCAGAGGTATGTGAGGTGAGAGGCATGGCCTCTGCCAAGGCCTGGACTCAGGCGAGAGGGTCAGCCACGGGTCCAGGACTCAGGGTAGCCCCTTGGCACACTGGAAGGGAGTGGCCTGGCACCATTGTGACCCGTTCACTCCCAAGACCCTCAGGGACAGGCAGGCAGTCAGTGGACACTGTCGGCACGGTGGGCTGGGGGCGTAAGGGCCCCGGTGGTCCTAGGGACCCCATGGCCATGGTTGAGCGGCCGAGGCCCGAGTGGGCCTCGTATCACAACTGCAACAGCAACAGCTGCCAGGACCTGGGCAACTCTGTCCTGTTGCTGCTGGGCCTCATCATCTGCATTAACATTAGCATCAATATAGTGACCCTGGTCAGGGTGGGGCCAGATGGGAGGGAGCTGGTGGGATAGTGGGGGGCAGGCCTGCCGGCCAGGGCCTACCTGGGATCACTGTGTCTTCCCCCACCTAGCTCTGGAGCCGATTCCGTGGTGTCTTATACCAAGTGTTCCATGATACCATTTGTGAGAAAGGTAAGAGGTCTGGGGGCTGGGACATAGGAGGGGCAGAAACCAAGTGCTCTAGCCTCAGCCCTAAATTAGCCCCTTCCCTTCTTGCTCGCCCCTCTCAGACAACATAGCTGTGTGGCTGCCCTTCCTGGGCCCTGCCTCTCCATGCCTGTAGGAGCTGGCCTCCCCACTAGTCTCACCTCTCCCCCATCCACAGAAGCTCCCAAGTCATCATTACTCAGAAAGCAGACCCAGCCCCCTAAGAAGCAGAGTTCTCCTGCAGTCCATCTTCGGTGCACCATGGACCCTGTGATGATGACTGTGTCCCCGCCCCCAGCTCACCGCCATCGCCGTCGAGGCTCTCCCACACGCTGTGCTCACTGCCCAGTAGCTTGGGCTCCTGACACTGATGACGAGAAGCCTCATCAGTACCCAGCCATCTGCTCCTACCACTGGGATGTCCCTGAGGACTGGGAAGGCTTCCAACACACTCAGGGGACCTGGGTTCCCTGGTCTCAGGATGCCCCAGAGTCCCCTCCCCAGACCATCCGCTTCCAGCCTACCGTAGAGGAAAGGCCCCTCAAAACAGGCATATGGTCCGAGCTGGGCCTAAGGGCCTATGTGTATCCTGTGAACCCCCCACCTCCCAGCCCTGAGGCTCCTAGCCACAAGAACGGTGGGGAGGGGGCGGTGCCAGAGGCAGAGGCGGCTCAGTACCAGCCTGTCCCAGCTCCCACCCTGGGCCCAGCAGTCATCCCTGAATTTTCCCGGCACCGCTCCTCAGGCCGAATAGTGTATGATGCCCGGGACATGAGACGGCGGCTTCGGGAACTGACCCGGGAGGTGGAGGCCCTGTCCGGCTGCTACCCCCTAGCCTCTGGATCCAGCACTGCCGAGGAGACAAGCAAGAATTGGGTGTACCGTTCCCTAACTGGGAGGTGACTGGAAAAAAATAAAAAGGAGAGAGGAGGTGATCTGTGGTGGTGCTGGGGTGCCAGGGCCCACACAGCACCTAGAAGCTGTGGCTGTGAAGAGAATGCTCTCCCTAGCCACAGGGCCCTGAGCCCTGAGGACCCTCATTAACCTTTTGCCCCACAGGCCTGTCCCTGTCCTCAGCCTTTCCTAGGCCCTTCTGGGTTCCAAGGCTCTTACCTGCCTCTACCTTGTTTTCAATTTTTTTTTTTTTTTGAGACAGGGTCTTCTCTGTTGCCCGGGCTGGAGTGCAGTGGTGCAATCACAGTTCACTGCAGTCCCAACTGTCTCCCACCTCAGCCTCCTGAGTCACTAGGACTACAGGCATGGGCCACTAGTTTGTTGTTGTTGTTGTTGTTTGTTCGGTTGGTTGGTTTTTGTGTGGGGGGGGTTGTTTTTGTTTTTAAGACAGAGTCCTATTCTTGTCACCCACACTGGACTGCAATGGCACAATCTTGGCTCACTGCAACCTCTGCCTCCCAGGTTCAACCAATTCTCCTGCCTTCAGCCTCCTGAGTAGCTGGGACTACAGGCGTGTGCCACCATGCCCTGCTAATTTTTGTATTTTTAGTGCAGATGGGGTTTTGCCATGTCGGCCAGGCTGGTCTTGAACTCCTGACCTCAGGTGATCCGCCCGCCTCAGCCTCCCAAAGTGCTGGGATAACAGGTGTGAGCCACCCCACCCCAGCCGCACCACTATTTTTTGTAGAGATTGGGTTTCACTACTTTGCCTAGGCTGGTCTCAAACTCCTGGGCTCAATCGATCTGCCTGCCTCAACCTCTGAAAGTTCTGGGATTACAGGTGTGAGCCACTGTGCCCGGACTGTTTCCTCCCCCTCCCCTGAGGCAGGGTCTTGATCTGTCACTCAGGCTGGAGGGCAGTGGTGCAATCATGGCTCACTGGAGACTCAACCTCCTGAGCTCAAGCAGTCTTCCTGCCTCAGCCTCCTGAGTAGCTGGGACAACAGGCACCACCACGCCCAGTTAATTCCTTGTTTTCTTTAGTGCACAGAGAAGCCCCTAAATTCTACCCCAGGTCCCCAGGCAGTCGTGCACTAGAGGAGAGATCTCCATCTCCATGGCCCTAGCTCCTCAGAAGGCTGGTGCCTGCCAGAGCCCAGCGTTAGGCTGCAGCCACCGGTGAGGCCTGGTTCCCACGTAAGCCCTGATTTATTTGGGGAGGGATGGCTGAGAGGGCGTCTAGTCCTTCACAGTTCCCCAGTCACCCTGAAGGTCCTATACCCTTAAGCAGGATTGGAGCAGAGGAGGAAATATTGGGGCCCCCTTGGCTGGGCGCAGTGGCTAACGCCTGTAATCCCAGCACTTTGGGAAGCCGAGGCGGGCGGATCACGAGGTCAGGAGGTCGAGACCTCTTGGCTAACACAGTGACACCCCGTCTCTACTAAAAAATGAAAAATAAAAAATAAAAAAATTAGCTGGGCATGATGGTGGGCGCCTGTAGTCCCAGCTACTTGGGAGGCTGAGGCAGGAGAATGGTGTGAACGTGGGAGGCAGAGGTTGCAGTTAGCCAAGATGGCGCCCCTGCACCCCAGCCTGGGCGACAGAGCGAGACTCCATCAAAAAAAAAAAAAAAGGCCGGGCGTGGTGGCTCACATCTGTAATCCCAGCATTTTGGGAGGCCGAGGCGGGCAGATCACAAGGTCAGGAGATTGAGACCATCCTGGCTAACATGGTGAAACCCCATCTCTACTAAAAATATGAAAACAAAAAATTAGCCGGGCGTGGTGGTGGGCGCCTATAGTCCCAGCTACTTGGGAGGCTGAGGCAGGAGAATGGTGTGAACCCAGGAGGCGGAGCTTGCAGTGAGCCGAGATTGCACCACTACACTCCAGCCTGGGCAACAGAGCGAGACTCCATCTCAAAAAAAAAAAAAAAGAAGAGAAATATTGGGGCCCCCCTCAAGAGGTACCTCACTGTAACATCACAGCTCTCTGTGACCTCACTCCTTTGATTAACTCACCATGTCACCAGTGAGGAGACTAAGTTCAGAGAAGCTAAGGGTCTTGCTCATGGTTACACAGACACTGAGGATCAAGCTCATGGCCTCAGATGCTCCATCCCATTGCTGCAGAGCCAGCCTGACCCACCAGAACCTCCCACCTTCCCCAGTTCACCATGTGAACTCAGAAACTGAGAAACAGAGAAACTCAGGCCCTGCCTTTCTGCTACACAATTGGGATCATATGCACATGCACACACATACCACTTGAGAACAAGCAGCTGTGTGCGTGAGCCCAGGCTGAGGGAGCTGGACTTCACCTTCCACTCTAGACAGATTCCTGGAATGTGAGCAGACGGACCGTTTACAAATGGCCCTACTTCTCTCATTCAACTAACGTTACTGATCATTTTCAATGGATTCCATTCAGTGGAATCTGAATCTACTCTGCATCTACTCTGTGTTTGGAGGCTGGATGGGATATGATCACTGGCCTTTCTTTCTGCTGAGTGGTTCACTGTGTAAACAAATGGCTTGCAGTCTCCAGGGCACCACAGACCCCAGTGATGCACCTGTTTTAAGTCAAACACTCTTTTTGGTATATTAACAATTACATGTATTTTGTGCTTTGTTAATTTCATGTGGTTTTCTTGTTGTTGTTGTTGTTGTTGTTGGGTTGTTTGTTTGTTTTGAGACAGTCTCACTCTGTCACCCAGGCCGGACTTCTGTGGCGCGATCTTGGCTCGCTGCAACCTCCACCTCTCAGGTTCAAGCAATTCTCCTGCCTCAGCCTCCCAAGTAGCTGGGATTACAGGCGCCCACCAACATGCCCAGCTAATTTTTGTGTTTTTAGTAGAGGTTTCGCCATGTTGGCCAGGCTGGTCTCAAACTCCTGACCTCAGGTGGTCCACCTGCCTGGGATTATAGGCGTGAGCCACTGCGCCCAGCAAGTTTCCTTCCTTCCTTCCTTCCTTCCTTCCTTCCTTCCTTCCTTCCTTCCTTCCTTCCTTCCTTCCTTTCTTGTTTTTTTGGAGACAGATTCTCGATGTGTCACCCAAGCTGGAGTACAATGGCGAGAGCTCAGCTTGCTGCAACCTCCACCTCCTGGGTTCAAATGATTCTTCTGCCTCAGCCTCCCGAGTAGCTGGGACTACAGGCGCGCATCACCACACCCAGCTAATTTTTGTATTTTTAATACAGACGGGGTTTCACTATGTTGGCCAGGTTGGAACTCCTGACCTCAGGTGATCCAGCCACCTCAGCCTCCCAAAGTGCTGGGATTATAGGCATGAGCCACCGCGCCCAGCTCGGGTTTTCTTCAGGTAGTAGCTTAACCGTTTTTCACCTTGGAGTAAGGGTGGGTTGGTGGGAGTGTAGGTGGTTAGGTTGGAGAAACCATGGCTGGGGTTGGTTCCCAGCAGAGGCAGCCACCTCAGTGAGTCAGATGTCAGTGTGACGAAGTGGCTGGTGGGCTCAAGGACCACCAACACCTAGGGCTGGAGTCTGGCCAGGAAGAATTGGGCAGAGATGGGAGCTAGAGGACTTTTGACAGGGAAATGGGCAGAGTAGGGAGGGGCTGGTACAGCAGGGTGATGCCTGAGGGGACGCAGTGTCACCCGCCCATCTAGTCACCCTAGATGCTGGCCCCAAAGTAACCATGGGGCAAGGCACGCCAACAGGCTATGTAAGTTGCCATAATGTCTCAAAAGAACAATGAAACAGGACATATCTGATGCATGCTTCAACCCTGTGACGACCGTGTCAGCCTCTAACTACCCTATCTTCAGCTCAGGAACCAGCTGTGGGGTTAAGCAAACCTCGTGGAGATAGAGGAACAGACTGAGATCTGGGATATGTGGGGACCAGGCTCCACCAAGTAGGAGCCAAGGGTGGAGATGGCGGTAGAAGGGGCCAGCAGAATGGATAAAAGCTGCCACCTCCACATTGTGACTCTCGCTAGCTCACCTCATTGTGACCTGGCTCCCTTACCAGCTTGTAGTTATCTCCGGGGATTGGCATGAGTGCAGTGTGGGTTGGGGCCGGGGGTGGGGGGCAGAGGGGGGTGGCCCAGGTGGCCCTAGGACCCCCCCTCCATGGAAAACCAGCTATGGCATAACACCGTGAGATGTTGCAATCAATACCAAGAAAGCCCCCACGATGCCGAGGACATCTTACTCCTGCTGCTGGGCCTCATCGTTCTTGTCAACATTGGCATCAACGTGGCAACTATGGTCAGTGATGATTGTGGACTACCTCTGGGGGTGAACAGGGCCAAGGGTGGGAGCCAGCTGCAGCCTACATCTCCACCTGCAGGTGCGGTCTAGATTGGGGCGGGGGCAGGGGTGGTGGTGCTGGGCGCGGAGGGCCTGGCCTTCACTCTCTTCCACCCTGCCCCAGATGTGGCATGGACTCCAGAACGCCTTAGACAAGATGATTGATTGGGCTACTCAGAAAAGTAAGTGTGGCTGCTGGAGAGGTAGGGGACCCCCATCCCCACCCCTGACAATGGCCCTAGAAACCCAGGCCCCAGTGTTCCCAACCTTGAGCTCTTCTGACAATTGCCCTGACTTCATGGACTCTTGCCTTCCCCAGATGAAATTCAGGCCAGTGAAAGTCCCCCAAGTGGTCCCCCAGACAAGGCTCAGGATGTCCACATCCACTGCATCCTGGACCCTGTGCAGGTGAAGATGTCCCGACCCACGCAGTACTCCTCTTTCTCCTGCCACCATTTCTCCAACCATCACAGTAGCAGTCTTCTTCGCTGTGTTCGTCGCCGCCGCCGCCGCCACCGCCGTTGTCGCCGTCGCTGCTGCAACCACCAGCAGCGGCCGCAGAACTACAGACAAATCCCCCATAGCCACTCAGTCTTCCGTAACCCACATCGCAGCCAAAAGATGTCACAACTACACCGAGTGCCTTTCTTTGATCAGGAGGACCCGGATTCCTACCTGGAGGAGGAGGACAACCTGCCCTTCCCGTATCCCAAGTACCCACGTCGCGGCTGGGGCGGGTTTTATCAGAGAGCGGGCCTGCCCTCCAATGTGGGGCTGTGGGGCCACCAGGGTGGTATCCTGGCCAGTCTGCCACCACCCTCTCTCTACCTGTCACCTGAGCTGCGCTGCATGCCCAAGCGTGTAGAGGCCAGGTCTGAGCTGAGGCTGCAGTCCTATGGGCGCCACGGTTCCCAATCCCGACTGTGGGGCAATGTGGAGGCTGAGCAGTGGGCCTCGTCTCCACCACCTCCCCACCGGCTGCCCCCTAACCCCTCTTGGGTCCCCGTGGGGCACAGCCCTTACCCCTCAGTGGGCTGGATGCTGTATGACTCCTGGGATCAGCGGCGTCGTGGCACGGAGGGCTTTGAGCGCCCCCCTGCCTCGGTGTCCCGGAACGCCCGGCCTGAGGCCCAGGGCTGCCGGGAGCACCACTCCCCACAGTCCCACCAGCAGAGCCTGCTTGGTCACGCCTATGGCCAGTCCCACCGCAGTCCCCACCCATCCACGGAACCCTTGGGCTACAGCTCCCAGGACCCCCGTGAGGTGCGGCGTCGGGCAGCTGACTGGGCTGAGGCTCTGCCCGCCTGGCGTCCTCTGACTACCTCTGCCTCCCTCACGGTGTTGGACGAGGCCTCCCATCAACGGACCCCAGCTCCAAGCTCAGTGCTGGTCCCCCATTCCTCCCAGCCCTGGCCCAAAGTCCAGGCTGCGGACCCTGCCCCTCCCCCGACCATGTTTGTCCCACTCAGCCGGAATCCAGGGGGCAATGCCAACTACCAGGTGTACGACAGCCTGGAGCTGAAGCGGCAGGTGCAGAAGAGCAGAGCCAGGTCCAGCTCACTGCCACCGGCTTCCACCTCCACCTTGAGGCCCTCTCTGCACAGGAGCCAGACCGAGAAACTCAACTGACCAGCAGGCGGATGTGGGGTGTGGGGCAGGGCATGGAGGGAGAGGAATAAAGAGAAACAGAGTCCAGGAAACACTGTGGTGGTCTGTAGCGTGGGAGTGCCACTCCTTCGGCCAGCCTGGGTCCCTGCCCTTGGCTTCCTGAAATGAGAAACCAGTGTCCCCTTCTTGGTGTGAGGCACCCCTTGGCTTAGTGGCCACGCGGCTGCCAGCAGGCCCTCCTAGTCTGCACCATGCACTACGTAGCTCTTGCACTGGCTGACGACAACCACCCAGGCTCTTTATTCTCCCTGTTTCCAGCAAGGATCAGGTCTGGATTCTGAACTCAGTGTCTTGAGTGGAGCTCTTTGGGATTTACTTAGCACATGGTACAGGACCAGGCCAAGGCTCTGGATTCCAGCCATGCCTTCCCCAAGGCTCTGAGGCGGAGGTCTCCCCAGTCTCTGGTGTGGTCAAGAGGTAAAGGATTCAGGATTCTGAAATGAAACTGCAGGAGTGGCCGAGTGCGGTGGCTCACACCTGTACAGCACTTTAGGAGGCCGGATCACTTGAGGCCAGGAGTTCGGGACCGGCCTGGCCAACATGATGAAACCCTGTCTTGGTCGGGCGTGGTGGCTCACGCCTGTAATCCCAGCACTTTGGGAGGCTGAGGTGGGCAGATTACGAGGTCAGGAGATTGAGACCATCCTGGCTAACACGGTGAAACCCCGTCTCTACTAAAGAAATACAAAAAATTAGCTGAGTGTGGTGGTGGGCACCTGTAGTCCCAGCTACTCGGGAGGCTGAGGCAGGAGAATCACTTGAACCCGGGAGGCAGAGGTTGCAGTGAGCTGAGATCACACCACTGCACTCCAACCTGGGTGACAGAGTGAGACTGCATCTCAAAAAAAAAAAAAGAAAGAAACCCCATCTCTACGAAAAATACAAAAATTAGCCAGGTGTCGTGCATGCCTGTAGTCCCAGCTACAACTATTTGGGAGGCTGAGGCAGAGAATCGCTTGAACCTGGGAAGCGGAGGTTGCAGTGAGCCGAAATCGCACCACTGCACTCCAGCCTGGATGACAGAGCAAGAATCCATCTCAAAAAAAAAAAAAAAAAGGAAGAAAGAAAGAAAGAAACTGCAGGAGTGATGGAATGAGAGTGAGTGAGTCACCCAGCAGTAGAGAACGATGGAGAAACAGGAGAGGGTCACTGGCTTCCAGACCCTGTTTGCCTGTCCATACCTGGTTACTCAAACCTGGTTACCAGAGAGTTCCACCCTGGGCCCTCCTCTTCCTCGACGTTCCTCATTGTGACCCTGACCACCTGCCTCATTATGACTCAGTCCACCCCCTCCCCAACAACAGGAGTCTTGCTCCTAGTGACTGTGTGAGGGCCGGGGGCCTAGGCAGTCCTGGGACCCCAGGCCATGGGTGAGCGAGCCTATCATGGGGCCCAGGTGTGCTCTGGCACCAACCCCAGGAAGTGCCAGGACTTAGGAGACTCGATTCTTCTTCTTCTGGGCAGCTTCATCTTGCTCAACGTGTGGATCAATGTGGTGACTCTGGTCAGGGCAGGATCTGGGTAGCAGGGTTGGGGGAGCCCTGGGGTCTTGAAGGGGCTGAGGTGGGAGGGCTGTTGGGGTGTGGCCAGATAAGAGTTGGACTTAGGGGCTCACCCTGCTTCCGGACTCACCTGCCCTCCCACTCCCTTCAGCTCTGGAAGCATCTGAAGAGCTCCTTGCGGATTCTTTTCCGTCATTTTTTCCCCAAAGGTGAGTGGGCCCCTGTATGGGCTCCCAGGGATATGGGCCTGTCCCCTTTCTCCTATCCCTGGCCCAGTTCTTAGTCCCTAGGGAACCCGGGCATTGTCCCCATCCTACCTCTCCCTGCAGACAAGCAGCCCAGCGGCAGCCATCCCATATGTATTTGCTCCTCCGTGGATCCCAAGAACCTGTGCTCAAAAGTCTCTTCCCGCGTCCATCCTCGCCCAGGCTTCCTGCTCAGGCGCGTTAACCACCTTGACTCCTGGATACCAGACACGAACGATGAGAAGGTTTCTGCGTGCTGCTGCGTGCCCCCTAAATGTGGACATGCCGGCGTTCCCAGGGAGTCTGCACGGGGACTGTACAAGGCGGGGATGATGGGCGGGGGAGAAGCCCCTCAGGTCACAGCCTCAAAGGCTCAAGCCTCCTTGCTCTCCAGGCCAGAGACATCTTCCCAGTTCCCAAAGATGAGCAAGTTGGACACGGGTCCATGCCACCTGCCCCAAGAGAGCAAGACTAAGACCCCAGACTGTGCCCCAGCCGAGGCCCCAGCTCAGGCCCAGGTCCACTCCCCAACCCACACTCCTGTGTGCACCCCAACCCACCCCTGGACCCGCTCCACGGACCACACCGCTGTGCACACCCCTGCCCACTCCTGGACCCACTCCAAAGCCCGCACCCCTGAGGGCACCCACTCCCAGGCCCAGGACACCTCAGCCCAGGCCCAAGCCCACACCTCAGCCCCTACCCCAGCTCAGACGCCAGCCCACATCCAAGCTCACACCCCAGCCCCTACACCGGCCAAGGCCTCAGCTCACACTAAAGCCCATACGTCAGCCCAGGCCCAAACCCACTCTCCGCCCCACACCCCTGAGTATACTCACTCCCAGGCCCACAGCCCTGAACACACCTCAGCCCACTCCCCAGCCCAGGCTCCTATGCCTGTCCCAGCCCACCCCCAGGCCCATGCCCCTGAGTACACCTCAGCCCATGCCCCAGCGTATATCCCAGACCACTCTCATCTAGTCCGCAGCTCCGTTCCTGTCCCAACCTCTGCCCCAGCTCCTCCCGGAACTCTTGCCCCAGCCACTACTCCTGTCCTAGCTCCAACACCAGCCCCTGTCCCAGCCTCTGCCCCCAGCCCTGCTCCAGCACTGGTCATGGCCCTGACTACCACTCCTGTCCCTGATCCTGTCCCTGCCACCACCCCTGCCCCTATCATAACTCCTATACCCTCTACCCCACCTGCCTTCAGCCATGACCTCTCCACTGGCCATGTGGTCTATGATGCCCGCAGGGAAAAGCAGAATTTCTTCCATATGTCCAGCCCCCAGAACCCTGAGTATTCAAGAAAAGACTTGGCTACCCTCTTCAGGCCCCAAGAGGGTCAGGACCTGGTGAGTTCTGGCATATCTGAGCAAACAAAGCAATGCAGTGGGGATAGTGCCAAGCTTCCTGCAGGATCCATACTGGGCTACCTGGAGTTGAGGAATATGGAATGGAAGAACTCAGATGATGCCAAAGATAAGTTCCCCCAGACCAAGACTTCCCCTTACTGCAGCTTCCATCCTTGCAGTTCTGAGAAGAACACAGACTCCCAGGCTCCATTCTACCCCAAATTCCTTGCCTACTCCCGGGATACTGCATGTGCCAAGACTTGCTTTCATTCTGCAACCACTGCCCAGAGCTCAGTGTGCACCCTTCCTCCACCGTTCACTCTTTCCCTGCCTCTCGTTCCTCCCAGATCCTTTGTCCCTCCTCAACCCACCAACCATCAGAGGCCTTCCACCTTAATACAAACCCCTACTGTTCTTCCAACCTCCAAGTCTCCTCAGTCCATCCTCACTTCCCAATTCCCCATCCCTTCCCTGTTCGCCACCATTTCCCAACCCCTGATCCAACCCCAATGCCCTGAATGTCATGAGAGTCTAGGCCTTACCCAAGATTCTGGCCTTCAAAGGACCCCAGGCCCTTCAAAAGACTCCAGAGTTCCCAGGAATCTGGACCTTGCCCAAAACCCAGACCTCTACAAGAACCCAGGCCTTACCCAAGATCCAGGCCTCCACGAGAACCCAGGTCTTGCTCCAAATCAAGGCCTACATGAGTTCCCAGGCCTTCCCCAAGATTCTTATCTCTGCCAGAATCCAAGCCCTTCTCAAGACTTTGGTCTTCACAAGAATTCAGGCATTACTCAAGATTCCCACCCCCAAAAGAACACAGGTCTGACTCAAGAAGCTGGTATCCTTAGGAGCCCATGTCTCACCCAATCCCCTGGCCTCCACAAGAAAACACCATTTACCCAAACTTCTGATCTTCAGAGGAGCTCAGGCTTTACACAAGACTCTGGAATCTATAGGAATCTTGAACCAAACCAAGAGACTGTGATCTACAAAAATCAAGATCTCTCCCAAGCAACTGACCACCAAAAGAACCTAGGCTCTTCTAAAGATTCTGGAGGTCACAAGAATACAGGCAATGTCCAAGATCCAGGAGTCTGTAGTACCGCAGGCCTTACTGAAGATTCTGGATCACAGAAGGGTCCGTATGTTCCCCAAGACTCTGAAGTCAATAAGAGCTCAGGAGTTATCCAGGAATCTTTTCTCCACAAGAGCCCAGGCCTTGTCCAAACCTCTGGCCTCCCAAAGTGCTCAGGCCTTACCCAAAACTCAGGAGACTACAAGAATCCAGGACTTATCCAAGATTGTGGTGGCCACAAAGTTAAAGGCCTTACTCAAGATTCCAACCTCCCAAGCCTTACCCAAGCCACTAAAGTTGAAAGAAGATTTAGCCTTCCCCAAGATGTTGGAGTTTACAGGAGCTCAGAACATAGCCAAGACTCTAATCTCCACAAGTGCCCAGGAATTAATCAAGATCCTGGCCCCCATAAAGACCCAGCCCTTGTCCAAGACTCTGGCCTCCCCAAGATTTCAGGCCTTACCCAGGAATCTGGCCCCTACAAGAGCTCATGCCTCATCCCAGATCCCAGCCTCTACAAGAACCCAAGCCCTGCCCTAGGTTCTGATTTTGTCCAGCTTTTGTCCCTGCTTCAGACCCCAAAGTCCACACTGTCCCTGATGAAGTCATCTGTGCCTGAGAAGGCTGCTCAGAAGGAGGACGCACAGCGGCACGTCCTCTGGGCTCGTGTCCAACTCAATGAGAACTCCTGCCCTTCCAAGGCCCAAGTGGTCTCCAATGACCTGCAGACCTTCTCAGAGGTACCTGTATTAATTGAGCTGCAGTCATCCTCCTGGCGGGCAGGCAGCCAGCACGGGGCGTACCGCCCTGTGGATACAGTTCCTTCAGGCTACCAGAACTATCGTCAGATGTCTATGCCTACCCATATCAACTGGAAGTCCCACTGCCCTGGACCAGGCACCCAGGCAGGGCATGTGGTTTTTGATGCCCGTCAGAGACGGTTGGCAGTGGGCAAGGACAAGTGTGAAGCTCTGTCTCCTAGGCGCCTTCATCAAGAGGCACCCAGCAACTCGGGGAAACCATCAAGGAGTGGGGATATCAGAATGTGATGAGAACCTTGGACAAAGAGGGGACAAAAGTGCATCAGGAATAAAGAGGCGAGAGAAATGTTCTGTGTTTGTTTGAGGACATCCACCCCAGCCCATCCCCGATACTGGCCACCCACAAAGCCACTGAGGACAGGTCCCTGTTTCTCCTCCATAGCTGCATAGCTAAGCCCATTATCCTCAAGGCCCTAGAGCTCCTCTGTCCCATACACTAGCCATTAGCCAAATGTGGCTATTAAAATGTATATTAGGCCTGGTGCAGTGGCTTACACCTGTAATCCCAGCACTTTGGGAGGCCGAGGTGGGCGGATCACCTGAGGTCAGGAGTTCGAGACCAGCCTGGCCAACATGGTGAAACCCCGTCTCTATAAAAATACAAAAATTAGCCGGGCATGGTGGTACACGCATGTAATCCCAGCTATTCGGGAGGCTGAGGCAGGGAGAATCACTTGAACCTGGGAGGCGGAAGTTGTGGTGAGCCGAGATCGCACCATTGCACTCCAGCCTCGGTGACACAGCAAGACTCTGTCTCAAAAAAAAAAAAAAAAAAAAAAGTAGATGTTACTGCGGAACACATTTTTAAATTTTGTTTAATTTTAATTTACATTTTCTTTTTTTCTTTTTCTTTTTTTCTTTTTTTTGAGACAGAGTCTCGCTCTGTCACCCAGGCTGGAGTGCAATGGCGCGATCTCGGCTCACTGCAACCTCTGCCTCCCAGGTTCAAGCAAGCGATTCTCCTGCCTCAGCCTCCTGAGTAGCTGGGATTACATGCGTGCACCACCACGCCCAGCTAATTTTTGTCTTTTTAGTAGAGATGGGGTTTCACCATGTTGGCCAGGCTAGTCTCGAACTCCTGACCTCAAGTGATCCACCCGCCTCGGCCTCCCAAAGTGTTGGGATTACAGGCGTGAGCCAGGGCGCCTGGCCACATTATCTACATTTCAAGTGCTCAACAGCCACAGGTGGCTGCTGGTGGCTACTGTATCAGACAGGACCAACTCAGGACATTGCTATCGTCACAGAAAATTATATTGGAGAGCCATGCTTTAGAGTTTAGAGGAACTATTCCTTGTCACCCATTCTTAACATCTTCAAAGCTTCCACAGAGTCCAGAGAACTTAGTTCTTTTTAGAGTGCCTCGGAAGCCACCCTCTGGGAAGGAGGTGAGATGCAGGGATGTCTGATGCCTGGTTACTCCAGACTGTGAGAAACAGCCCAGTCTCCAGTTCTCCTGATCTGGCCTCTTGGGTCACAGCCAGATGTGTGTGTACGGGAACCTACTTGCGCAGTTCTGGGCTGCTTTGGTGCTCTCGCTTCTCCCAGGGACCCCAGCTCTGGTTGCTGAAGGAGAAAACTCTCTGTCAGTGACGAGGAACCCCTGAGTCCTGGGCTTGCCAAATTGATCTCTACAGTTGGGGAGTCTCTTCTTTTACAGGCCTCTAATTTTCCTAGATGTCCTCCTTAATTATCTTATCCATGGACTTAGGCCTATCCCGTCCTGGAGACAGACCAAGGGCAGAAGGAATGTAAGAAGTCGTGGCCCAGGCCGGGTGCAGTGGCGCGTGCCTATAATCCCAACACTTTGGGAGGCCGAGGTGGGAGGATCACCTGAGGTCAGGAGTTCAAGACCAGCCTGGCCAACATGGTGAAACCCTGTCTCTACTAAAAATACAAAAAATTAGCCAGGTATGGTGGCAGGCGCCGTAATCCCAGCTTCTCGGGAGGCTGAGGCAGGAGAACTGCTTGAACCCGGGAGGTGGAGGTTGCAGTGAGCGGAGATTGCGCCACAGCACTCCAGTCTGGGCAACAGTGCGAGACTCAGTCTCAAAAACAAAACAAAACAAAACAAAAATTTGAGATCCCAAAGTGTTTTCCCTGCCACGACTCAGGTAGCAGTGAGCTGAGGTGGGCATCACTAACATGTATGTCTCTCCTATGAGTCAAACGTCCATTTCTGGGTCACCATCTGTGTGCTCCTGCCTAACACTACCACTTTTGGGATTCCAAGATGCACCCCCCCCACCCCACCCAGGCAGGGGTCCCTATCTCTCCCCAGGCCCTAGGGTGGAGTTTCGCTCTTATCACCCAGGCTGGAGTGCAATGGCACAATCTCAGCTCACTGCACCCTTTCCCTCCTAGGTTCAAGTGATTCTCCTGCCTCAGCCTCCTAAGTAGCTGGGATTACAGGCGTCTGCCACCACGCCCGGCTAATTTTTGTATTTTTAGTAGAGACAGGGTTTCGCAATGTTGGCCAGGCTGGCCTTGAACTCCTGACCTCAGGTGATTCACCCGCCTCAGTCTCCCAAAGTGCTGGGGTTACAGGCGGGAGCCACCGCGCCCGGCCCATCCCTCATTATTTTTTGCGACTCAGAGCCATCCTATTACCCCTCTCAAACCCCAAGGAATGTTTGAGTGGGGTTGATATGGGTGTGAAAAGACACAGAATAATCTGTCTCCAGAGGAACTACAACTTCCATCAGGCACTACTTCAGCGGAACAGGAAAGGATGTGGGGGCGTGGCTACCACGCCCTAGTAGAGCGGGAAACTACAACTCCCAGGATAACGCGGGATTTCAGCAGGGCCAAAAGAGTGATTGAGCTCTGACTGGCGACCCGACCCGGCGGAAACCACCTCGACAGCCTCCAGAAAGGGGCGTGGCTGAAAATGTAGGGGCGTGGCCACGTGGGCATCAGGAAGAAGTAACCTGTTGAATCTATTTCTGCTCCCCACCCTTACTGCTTCCCATAAGGGGGAAGCCGCAGACTAATAAGCCTCTTCCAAAAAAGAGGTAAAGGGAGGTAGACAAGGGGCGGCAGCGGAGGCTGGCTACTGCATTCCGTAGGAGGAGCCAACAGTTACTTTTTACCTGCTGAGTCCGGTGAACCAGTTCATGGGGGCGGGGACCTGCCTATGAGAAAAGGGCCAGGATAGAAGAGGTATTTATTTGTTCATTTTGAGGACTAAATTTAGAACCCATCATCTACAGACCCATTTGTAGGTTGTGTCTGGGGCACTCGCTCGGCCTCAGGAAGAGGGAAGAACGGGGACGACTTTGTGGCAGCAAAGCCACCTCCCTTCCGTGTTTTCCGCAGCCCAAAGCGATAGAACCGCATGGCTTCCGCAGTCTGGGGGAGTGCCCCCTGGTGGGGCCCGCCGCCCCCGGCCCCAGCTCGGCCGCTCACGGACATCGACTTCTGCTCCGGGGCGCAGCTGCAGGAATTGACCCAGCTGATCCAGGAGCTGGGTGTGCAGGAGAGCTGGAGTGACGGGCCCAAGCCGGGAGCCGATCTCCTCCGGGCCAAGGACTTTGTCTTCTCTTTGCTTGGTAAGTAACCCTACTTGCCTTTGGGAACTCACAGCTCTCAGCCTCACCACGCCCCCGCCCCCGCCCCGGCTTTGGGCGACGCCCTCACGATCCGTTCCCTTTTTTTAGGTCTAGTTCACCGCCGGGACCCTCGCTTTCCTCCCCAGGCAGAGCTCTTGCTGCTTCGTGGTGGGATTCGCGAGGGCTCCCTGGATCTGGGGCATGCACCCCTGGGTCCCTACGCCCGGGGACCTCACTACGATGCCGGCTTCACACTCCTAGTGCCCATGTTTTCACTGGACGGCACTGAACTGCAACTGGACCTGGAATCCTGTTACGCACAGGTCTGCCTCCCAGAGATGGTGTGCGGAACCCCCATCCGGGAGATGTGGCAGGATTGCTTAGGACCCCCAGTCCCAGGAGCACGTGATTCGATCCACCGAACGGAGAGCGAAGAAAGTTCCAAGGACTGGCAAAGCTCTGTAGACCAGCCGCACAGCTACGTCACTGAGCACGAGGCGCCGGTGTCTTTGGAAAAATCGCCTAGTGACGTTTCAGCGTCCGAGTCGCCTCAGCATGACGTCGTCGACCTTGGCTCTACCGCACCTTTGAAAACAATGAGTAGTGACGTCACCAAGGCAGCCGTCGAAAGCCCAGTCCCAAAGCCGTCGGAGGCTCGGGAAGCGTGGCCCACATTATGTTCCGCCCAGGTGGCTGCCTGGTTCTTTGCTACGCTGGCGGCGGTCGCCGAGTCTCTGATCCCTGTCCCGGGTGCTCCGCGTCTGGTGCACGCAGCTCGCCACGCGGGTTTCACCACCGTCCTCCTGGCTACCCCTGAGCCCCCTCGCCGCCTCCTGCTCTTCGACCTGATCCCAGTGGTGTCCGTGGCGGGCTGGCCCGAGGGGGCTCGGAGCCACTCGTGGGCCGGTCCGCTGGCCTCTGAGTCGGCTTCCTTCTACCTGGTGCCCGGTGGCGGCACCGAGCGGCCGTGCGCCTCCGCCTGGCAGCTCTGTTTTGCCCGCCAGGAGCTGGCGCTCAAAGCGCGCATACCAGCGCCGCTGCTGCAGGCGCACGCGGCGGCCCAGGCGCTACTGCGCCCGCTGGTGGCCGGGACCCGGGCGGCGGCGCCCTACCTCCTGCGGACGCTGCTGTACTGGGCGTGCGAGCGGCTGCCTGCGCTCTACCTGGCGCGGCCAGAAAATGCGGGCGCCTGCTGCCTCGGGCTGCTAGACGAGCTCGGCCGAGTGCTCGAGGCCGGGACGTTGCCTCACTATTTTCTGAACGGCCGACAGCTCCGTACGGGGGACGACTCCGCTGCGCTGCTCGGAGAATTGGCCCGGCTCCGCGGGGACCCGGCCCGGGCCCTCCGTGCCGCGGTGGAGGAGGCCAAAGTGGCCCGCAAGGGGGGCGGTTTGGCGGGCGTGGGGGGCGGGGCCCATTAAAGACGCTGTTCCTACCAGTGGAAAGTGCCTCTGTGGGCGAGCGGGACGTGGGGGGCCCTGCTCGCCCCTCGCCAGGGGGACTGACTGTGTGCCCTGGGCCTGAAGCCCCCCTTCTGGAAGACCTCCCTGTTGGTTCCTCCTCTACGCCCACCCGCCTGCCCCCGCACAAGTTGCCCCATTCCAGCCTCGCTATTCTCCACATCTGTGGCCAGCACTCCGCCCAGGGGCAGCTTCCAGAAACCGTCTGTCCCCAGTTCTTTTGGTCATTTCTCTTAAGGGCCAATAGAAATGGGAGAAACATATTTGCTGACCAAACGCGAAAAGGAGTTATGGAGACCAGGGTCTGATCAATTTGGCTCACACAACGGCAGAGATATGAAGGAGGCCGGATTTCGCCCAAGGCTGGATCTCACCACCCCCCATCCTCCATCTCTCCAGTTCTTCCCCCACTTTACTCGTGCGGTTCTTTCTTCACTAACATCCCGGCCAGTAGGGTCTCTCTCCCTTCTCCCAGCGTCCGCCATTCCATCTCCCTTAGGCCCAACCTCTCCTTCCTACCCAGGGGTGCGTTCAGGAGGCCTTCCTGTCCCTCCTCCTCTGAAGGCTGAGACGTGCGGCCTTGCCTCGGCTTTGCCTGCTTGTAAGACACAGTCCGCACTCTCTACCTCCAAGGAACCCCGGGGTTCCTCCTGCCCGGCTTCACCCTCCTATTTCCCAGCGTCTCCGCCCCCTGCCCCGCCCCCGGGCCGGCTCTCCGAGGAGGGGGAACTGCTGTCGCCGCCGCCGCCGCCGCCTCAGCTTCCCACAGCCGCTGCCGCTGCCGCCGCTCTGCCTGGTCCAGCCACCGGCCCAGTGCTCTGACTTCGCCGGACCGGGGAGCTCTGCAGAGACACCCTCACTCCTTCCCGAGGGTCCGGGACGCCTAGCCGGGCGTGGGGGGAAGCTCCGTTTGCGGGGGACAGGGAGGGAGGAGCCTGGAGCCGAAGCCAGCGCCACCCGTCGCCGGATCAACAGGACAGGACAGGTTGAGGGGCGTCGGGAAAAGGAAGAGGGGGTGCTATAGGCAATCCCGGGGAGGACGAGGAAGCCCTGTAGCAGGAAGCTGTGATCCGCTCTGACTTGTAGGGGGCCTGTTCACATCTGGGGACTGGTGACAACGTGGGTGCACTCCTCTCTTGGGGGGCTGGTTAGATTGGAGGGCGTGGGATCTAAACAGCACCAGCTGTCCCCAAGAAAATTTAAGGGGCAGCCAGGGGAGAAAAAAACAAAAACAAAAACAAACACGGATGCTCCTCATTTTGAGGTGGCGGAAGGCCCTCCAGTCAACTACCTGGTGTATCCACTAGGAAGGGTGGATTTGGAGGTGACTTCAAAAGGAGCGGAGGGTGTGAAGGTGAAGAAAGGGTCTTGGCCGCTAGAATTCTATGCTACTAGACATGGGGGGGACTTGGTGAAAAAGGTATTATCCAGCCAGAGGGTCTGGGAGCCCTGTCTTACTGAACCTGGGCAACCTGGATATTCTGAGACATATTTTGGGGGGATTTCAGTGAAAAAAGTGGGGGATCCCCTCCATTTAGAGTGTAGCAAAGGAAAAAACACCAAGGTTGGGTTCCTTCCTGACATTGGCAGTGCCCCAGTAGGGGTGGGATGAGCGAATATTCCCAAAGCTAAAGTCCCACACCCTGTAGATTACAAGAGTGGATTTGGCAGGAGTGTGCCCCAAAATACAGTGGAAAGGTGCCTGAAGATATTTAAACCACGTCTTGGAAATTTAGTGGGTCTTGGCTTTGGGATAGGTGAAGTGAGGACAGACACTGGAGAGGAGGGAAAGGGGACGTTTTCAATAGGAGGCAAAACTCGAGGGTGGGATCCACTGAGGAGTACATAGGCTGCTGGATCTGGTGGAGCCAGCACTGGGCCCACGGGTGGTAACTGGCTGCTGTGGAGGGGGGTACGTGAGGGGGGGGGTCTGGGGCTTATCCTCAGGTCCTGTGGGTGGGGCAGCGAGTCGGGGCCTGAGCGTCAAGAGCATGCCCTAGTGAGCGGGCTCCTCTGGGGGAGCCCAGCGCGCTCCGGGCGCCTGCCGGTTTGGGGGTGTCTCCTCCCGGGGCGCTATGGCGGCGCTGGCCAGTAGCCTGATCCGGCAGAAGCGGGAGGTCCGCGAGCCCGGGGGCAGCCGGCCGGTGTCGGCGCAGCGGCGCGTGTGTCCCCGCGGCACCAAGTCCCTTTGCCAGAAGCAGCTCCTCATCCTGCTGTCCAAGGTGCGACTGTGCGGGGGGCGGCCCGCGCGGCCGGACCGCGGCCCGGGTGAGTGCGGCTGGGGCGGGGTCTCCCGGCCAGAGGTTTCTCTGCCTGGGAGATTGAGGCCAGGGACTCTGAAGAATAGGGCCCGGCTGAGGGGCTCCCCGAAAGTGGAAGGGGGTGGGCCAGGACGACAAAGTCCCTGCCAGACTGTGCCTCAGTTTCCCTTCTCTTTTGTCCATAACCCGGAGTCTCCTTATTTTCGAGGTCAAGGGGAAGGCTTGAGGGGCTGCCTGGCGCCCCGAAAGCCTCGTAGTTCCTGCTCGTCCCCCCTTCCCAACACAGCAGTCCCCACCCCCATCGTCCTCCGCCTACGTGCCGGTTCTCGCGATTCTTTCAATCTGGAGCGGAGGGGCCCGGGGGTTTCCAGATGCCTGGGTCACCCCAAGGATTTCTGCAGCTCCAGCCGCACGCCCCCCCCCAGCCCCCGCCTGCCCCGGTTCTCCCGCTCCTCCACGCCTGGGCTCGGTTCCTCCTGGTCGAGCTCTGCTGGCTCCGAGCCAATCTCCCCAGCTCTCCCTCGGGTGTCCTTGCAGCTACCTCGCCAGCCAGCCCTCTATGCGCCCTCCTCCTGTGACCTGCGCTTCAAGAACGGAGCTGGGCACCCCTCCCATAACCCCCGCGCCACTCCGAAATCGGGTCCCGTAGGCTCAGGGGACCCTACGCTGGCAGGAACTCAGACACAGTTCACGGCTAGAGATGGGCGCCGACTCGGGGGTCGTACCACCTACAAGGGGGGACAGGGAAGTCGGCAGAGAGCAAGCGATGGGGGAGGAGAGTTGTGAGAGTTAGAATTGGTCCCCGTCCATGTACGACAGTCAGGGAGTCCCTCTGGCCCTGCTCCCGCCCGCTCCCAGCTCCCCTAAGGGTAGCCACCTCGCGCCCTCCTCCCCGCGCCACCGGCTGCCCATAGTGGTACAATCCGCAGCCCACCCTCTGAGTAGGACCGGGCCCCCACGTGACTCAGCCTGCCTCTCCATCTCCTCAGCTCCCACCCCCCATATCCTTGGTAAGGTCCCCCTTACCCCAGGCGAGTTACCTGGCCGAAGGGGAGAGGCTGAGCCTCAGGGAGAACTGGGCCCCCGGGAGCCAGCGGACTGACAGACAGACAGACAGACAGACAGATGGGTCAGTGTCAGACAGGCCGGCGCTGGGCCAAGGCAAGGCTCTCGCCAAGCTAGCGGCAGCCGCAGCAGGTGCTGAGTCAGCGTCAGGCCCAGTCCCACCCCCACTCCTGAGGGAGAGCCCCTACCCTGTGGTCAATTTGCTGCTGCCAAGATCCCCCACCTTCGCAAACACGCTGCCCCTTCAGTACCCCTGCTGGTCTCCCTCTGTCCCTGCCTTTTGATATATCTCTCCCCTCCCTCCTCCCCCACTCCTTCCCCCTTCTGGTTGAGCTGTAGGGTAGGAATTAAGCCATTTAAATAAATTTCAATAAATTACACTGAAAGCTCCTGGTTATAGGAAACAGAAGGGACCCACACCAGCTTTCCCAGGAGTGAAAGAGAGGTGGGAGAGAGCGTGCTTGGAGGATAAGAGAGCTGGGGCCCTGGGACCCTCTTCCTTCCTTTCATTCTCCTTTCTTCCCTCTAATCCTGCCAAGTGTAGGAATGTTTCTGGGAACGGAGATGTCATTTTCAAAGATGAATGTCTCTCTCTCCAGAGCCTCAGCTCAAAGGCATCGTCACCAAACTGTTCTGCCGCCAGGGTTTCTACCTCCAGGCGAATCCCGACGGAAGCATCCAGGGCACCCCAGAGGATACCAGCTCCTTCAGTGAGAGGGGAAGCTGGCTGCAGGGTGGGAAGGGGGAGAATGGGGACAGGAGATGACAATCCTATTCCCTCTTCAGCTTCTGTTGCCATTGATCCGTCTTCCTGACCTCTAAGGGAAAAAGTGGAGCTGGGATGAGGGGAGCTCAGGTGAGGGTCAGAGGCCTGGGTATTGATGCTCCCTCTCTCCACCTGCAGCCCACTTCAACCTGATCCCTGTGGGCCTCCGTGTGGTCACCATCCAGAGCGCCAAGCTGGGTCACTACATGGCCATGAATGCTGAGGGACTGCTCTACAGTTCGGTGAGACAATGAGGCTGAGTGGCCGGGAAATACTGGGGACTCCCCTTCCTCAATTTGTCCCTTGAGGGAATGACAACCTTCCTCAACTACAGACATTTTGCCCGGGACTCCTCCCTCCAGCTTTGCTGATGGCCTGTCATCGCTGCCCATTCCAGACCAGCTCCTCTAGGGTCTCTCCAGTCCCCACTCCTTGCACACCCCCAAAACAGCCCCAGGTTCTTTGAATGTCCAACTCTTTCTGCCTTTTAGGGCCCCTACTTCTTATCCCACCTCCTCCAGATTTTGTCATTACTCACTTCCCTAGAGTCATCCAGGATAGGGGATAGTGAGAGACTGGGAGTACAGTGGAGAGAAGGAATCTTATTGCAAGACCCCTAAAAGTCTAGTTCTTTTTTTTTTTTTTAAATAGTGACAGGGTCTTGCTATGTTGGCCAGGCTGGTCTGGAACTCCTGACCTCAGGTGATCCACCCGCCTCGGCCTCCCAAAGTGTTGGGATTATAGGCATGAGCCACTGTGCTTGGCCCAGAGCCTAGTTCTTAGCCCTCAGCCCTCTTCCTTGTCCTCCCTTTGCTCCCAGGTCCTACATGGACTCAGAAGTTGTCCTCCCCCTCCCCCAAAAAGGATTTGTGCTTTCCATGAGCTCCTTTCTGCCCAGTGATGTGTCTTTTTATCTCTCTGTCTTTGTGCGCCTTTCTGGGTCTTTGTCTCCTTAGCCGCATTTCACAGCTGAGTGTCGCTTTAAGGAGTGTGTCTTTGAGAATTACTACGTCCTGTACGCCTCTGCTCTCTACCGCCAGCGTCGTTCTGGCCGGGCCTGGTACCTCGGCCTGGACAAGGAGGGCCAGGTCATGAAGGGAAACCGAGTTAAGAAGACCAAGGCAGCTGCCCACTTTCTGCCCAAGCTCCTGGAGGGTGGGTATAGACTCAAGAAAATGTGGGCCACAGGAGAGGGTATTGACCTTGATATGGACATTTAGGGGCAGACAGCTCAGGCTACAAGTGATAAGAGGACCCTTTGTGACAGATCAAGCCAGGAAGGCTTTGCCCTTTGGGGGTTTGGGTGCGGTCCTCCTGTGGGGTTGGGGTTCTTGGAGGGTGAATGTACGGGAAGGGAGCCCTTTTGGAGCACTGGTTCTGCCTGGGTCCCTCTGTGCCTAACTCTCCTTCCCTGCTCCTCTCTTTCTCCCCTTCACAGTGGCCATGTACCAGGAGCCTTCTCTCCACAGTGTCCCCGAGGCCTCCCCTTCCAGTCCCCCTGCCCCCTGAAATGTAGTCCCTGGACTGGAGGTTCCCTGCACTCCCAGTGAGCCAGCCACCACCACAACCTGTCTCCCAGTCCTGCTCTCACCCCTGCTGCCACACACATGCCCTGAGCAGCCAGGTCCCACTAGGTGCTCTACCCTGAGGGAGCCTAGGGGCTGACTGTGACTTCCGAGGCTGCTGAGACCCTTAGATCTTTGGGCCTAGGAGGGAGTCAGAGAGGGGGATGTCTGAAGATGGTCCTGGCTGATCACTTCTTTCTTTCCACACTCACACAACGCCATGCCTTTTCCTGAGATGGCGCTGGGAGTTCCCACATGGACAGCCAGGGCATAAACACTTCCCACCCCGGCTCAGCCAGTTCCTGGAGTCCTGTGCCCCTTTTCATTGCCACTGAGCCATTTCTAGATTCACTGGAGCTCAGGATTCATGTGTCCTTCTTTCCCTACTCTACCTTCTACCTTGGTCTGGACACATTCTGGAACACTGGACACCCTCGCCAGGGCCACTTCTGCACTAGGGCTCTGTGCTGGAACCCAGGCATGCTGCCAGCCTTTTCTCTGGATCTGTCAGGCCTCTGTCATTGACTCAGATGGACCCCTGGTTTCCAAGTAGAAAGAGGCTAGATTTGGGCCTTGTCTAGCTGTTGGCTTTGGCCTGAACCGGAACCAGTCTCAGATGACCACGGGTTTAACCTTCTTATCCCAGAGACACCCAATTCTAGAGCTTTATGGAGCCGTACTTCCCCCTGAATCCTAGCTCTAGGACATAGATCATGACTCTCAGCCCTTTTACCCAGGATGGAGCTGGGGCCTGTATAGCCATATTATTGTTCTAAGTAAGTTCTAGCCCCACCCTCCCGCCTTCTTGAGTGATACCTATTACGGATGAGTTCTGGAAAAGACCCAGCTATGATTCATAAAAACACTTCTGGATGAATCAAGAACCATTTCTTGTTTTTCCTAGATAATTCTCTAAAAATATGATTCTTCCATATAGAATGCTAAGCTTATTTTTACATGCAGTTTCTAGCTCCTTCAACCCAGCTGAGGTCGTGCCAGGGAGACAGAGTCTGGAGAAGGGCAGAGGAATTTTGGAAGGATCCCTGGCTCATAGTAGGGAAGCTGGGATGGGGGAGGGGTCAAAATTATGGCATGACTGAACCTGCATCTGTGTTGGGTGGACATGAATACTTAGCTACCTCAGCAGGAATTCCTTCCAGGTCCCCTTTAAAGCTGAGGTCCTTAGAGTAATATGTCCTTAATAAAAAGGACAAATGGATACAGCCTTGACCCTCCCAGTGAGGAGACCCCAATTCAGCAATAAGTCTCACCCTTCTCCCCTACAGGTCAGGCCAAGAAGGGTGAAGGCCTCTTGCACTCCAGACCTCATACGCCCCAACAGCTTCTAATTGGATAGAACTTGCTTTACCTTACAGCTCACAACCTCAGCTGGGTTTTAGGTACCCAAAAAGGGCCTGTCTAGATTTTTTCAGAAAAACGTGGAGTGCTAGGGGCAGCCTGGAAAAGATGGGGAACCTGCTAGTGAACTAGGAGGGAGACTTCCATAGCCTCAGACTTGGATAGGGTAGGCTGAGGGGGCCCTAAGGGAGGGACTAAGGCTCCAAGGCAGGTCACTTTTCCTTAGGCTGTTCTACTTCTGGCTTGTTGCAAGAGGAGTAGATGCCCCCTCACCCACACAAACCCCACTCAGTCTCCACCCAACTCCTGGCACTGCTCCCAGGGGATCGGGTCTCCACTCCAGCTTTCTCAATTAAAGACGATTTATACAACTGAAGTGCTGTCTGTCATCTGTCGGTGGCGGGCTTGGCAGTTGCTCGAGGCAGGATCAAGTCCCGGGGGCGGGGCGGGTGGGCTGGCGGCTGTCCTCCAGCAACAGGTGCACATTCCCGGGCTCCTCGTCACTTCCCCTGTGCTGGCGGTCCCAGCGGCTCTCTGAGCGAAGTCACTGAGCGAGCCGCCAGGCTATGACCCCAGGGGCTCTGCTGATGCTGCTGGGGGCGCTGGGGGCGCCGCTCGCCCCAGGTAAGTGTAGGCCCCGAAGGGGCAGTGACGGGGCCAGCGGTCGTGGCCAGGCACCAGGGCTGCACTTATTCTCTCCTCCCCCAGGCGTCCGCGGCTCGGAGGCGGAGGGTCGACTCCGGGAGAAACTTTTCTCTGGCTATGATAGCTCCGTGCGGCCAGCGCGGGAGGTGGGAGACCGTGTCAGGGTCAGCGTTGGTCTCATCCTGGCGCAACTCATCAGCCTGGTGAGGGCGCGCGGGGGGTGGAGGTCAGGCCAGCCGACCGGCCGGGGGCGTGGCTTTAGGCAAGGCCGGACCAGGGACAGGCTGGGGGCGGGGCCTGGGACGAGACCAGGCTGAGATGGACCAGCCTTTGGTGAAGATTGGATCGAAATCAGACCAATGGACAAGCTCTGGCCGTGGGTGGTGGACGGGCCTGGAGTAGAACTGGGTAGGGTGAAGGACGGACCTGTGATCGGACCTTAAAGTGGGGCTGGGGACGAGGCAGGGGCTGGGGGACGGACCTCGACGTAGGGCCACATGAGTCCTGAGTGCCCAGGGTGGGGCGGAGCTTGGTGCTCAGGGGTCAATAAATGGCAGCGGGTGGAGGTTCGGGGCTGGGTGGATTATGAGCTGAAGGCAGGGCCGGGGACAGAGCTAGGCGGAGGGCTAGGCAGGGGCGGGTCTGGTAGGTTGATAGGCTGGGAGTGTAGACGGCAGGAAGAGGTGTTTCTGAGATAGAGGCAGGTCTTAAACTAACGCCGCTTCTGGGAGGTGGACTTGGACCCGAGAGGATGGGGCTCAGAAAAAGGGGGCGGCGTTCCCAGGAGAGAGGTTGGCCCCCCGAGCCCCCTCATTTCTCTCCACCCTACTTCACCTTTACGCCTTAAATTTTTCCCTTCTAGAACGAGAAGGATGAAGAGATGAGCACAAAGGTGTACTTAGACCTGGTATGGAGACCCCACGGGGTGGGAAAGGGCTTCCCTCTGCCTTGACAATTTCCTTGAATATCCAGCCCAGTAAGAATATTTTTTACATCATGACTTTAGATAACACGTTTATAACTGAAGCAAAAGCTCGAAGAAACAACACTTAACTTTACTACAGGAGTTACACCCCATGCATTTTTAATTCCAATTTTGTGTGTGTGTGTGTGTGTGTGTCTGTGTGTGTGTGTGTGTGTGTGTGTGTGTGTGTGTGTGTGTGTGTGATGCGGTCTCACTATGTTGCACAGGCTGTTCTTGAATGCGGGGGCTCGAGCCATCCACCAGCCTCGGGGGGAACCTCCACAAGTGCTGAGATTACAGCCGTGAGCCACTGCACCTGGCCCATTCTAATTTTTGAAACACTGGTTTGGGGCCGCTAATTTCATTCCCCATCCACTAAAGGATTGCGAACTGCAGTTTGAAAACCGTTTTAGAGGCTAGCTACTGCAGCCTCCTCATTTTTACAGAGTAAAATATTGAAACCCGGTGCGGGGGAGGGAAATTAGCTGATGTGGATCCCAGCGAGTGAAGGCGGAGCCAGAGCCAGAACCACGGCCCCTTGACCCACAGTTTATGCCTGTCCTGCTCCCCTTCCTTGCACTCCCTTCCTGGGCTTCCTTTGGAAATCCCAAGTCCCTCCCGGCCTCCAACCCGGGGCAGCCCCTCAGCCTCTGCTTCACTAGGAGTGGACTGACTACAGGCTGAGCTGGGACCCTGCGGAGCACGACGGCATCGATTCGCTCCGCATCACGGCGGAATCCGTGTGGCTCCCTGACGTGGTGCTACTGAACAAGTAGGAGAACTTCCAAAGCCCGGGAGGTGGCGCGGGGCCTCGGGGGGCGGGGGGCCTCCGGGCGCGGGGCCTGATCCCTGATGAGATCCCTTCTCTGCAGCAATGATGGGAATTTTGACGTGGCTCTGGACATTAGCGTCGTGGTGTCCTCCGACGGCTCCGTGCGTTGGCAACCCCCGGGCATCTATCGCAGCAGCTGCAGCATCCAGGTTTCCGGCCTCCACATTGGAAGCTGAAGGAGCTCTTACAAATCCTCCCTTTCCTTAGACATCCTGACTCCCCGGCGACTCCCATCCTTCATCCTTCCCCCATTATCTAATCCCCATGACCCTCACCTCGTCTACCCTCCTGGTTTTCCATTGAGTGTTCTGTACACTTTCTTTGACTTCTAGTCTTACTCAGTGACCGCCCTCCCCATCCCTCCCCCATTAATGGCTTCCCTTCATAACCCTCCAATTCCTCCATGATTTCCCTTCTCTGTGCCCTCCCCAAAGACCTCCCAAACTCCACCAGCGCTGACTGGTTCTCTGGCAGCTCTAGTGACTCTCTCCTCCATCCAGGTCACCTACTTCCCCTTCGACTGGCAGAATTGCACTATGGTGTTCAGCTCCTACAGCTACGACAGCTCGGAGGTCAGCCTGCAGACAGGCCTGGGTCCTGACGGGCAAGGGCATCAGGAAATCCACATTCATGAAGGGACTTTCATTGGTGAGTAGGCATGGCTCCTACATCCATGGGCTCTATCATTTCCAGCTTCTAACAGACTCATAAATATACTGTCAGTGATGCCCAATATAGCCCTGTGGGGTCAGCAGGATGGGTATGGCTATCTACATTTTAAAAGTATGGAAATTGCCGGGGGCAGTGGTTCATGCCTGCAATCCCAGTACTTTGGGAAGCCGAGGCGGGCGGATCATTTGAGGTCTGGAGTTCGTGACCAGCCTAACGTGGTGAAACCCCGTCTCTACTAAAAATGCAAAAAATTAGCCAGTCATGGTGGCAGATGCCTGTAATCCCAGCTACTTGGGAGGTTGAGGCAGGAGAATCGCTTGAACCTGGGAGGTGGAGGTTGCGGTGAGCCGAGATGGCGCCACTGCACTCCAGCTTCGGTAACAGAGTGAAAGTTCGTCTCAAAAAAAAAAAAAAAAAAAAAAAAAAAAGGGCCTGGCGCAGTGGCTCACGACTTAATCTCAGTATTTTGGGAGGTGGAGGCGGGCAAATCACCTGAGGTCAGGAGTTCGAGACCACCCTGGCCAACATGGTGAAACCCCGTCTCTACTAAAAATACAAAAAATTAGCCAGGTGTGGTGGTGGACACCTGTAATCCCAGCTACTTGGGAGGCTGAGGCAGGAGAATCACTTGAACCTGGGAGGCGGAGGTTGCAGTGAGCCGAGATCACGCCACTGCACTCCAACCTGGGCAACAAGAGCAAAACTCTGTCTCAAAATAAATAAATAAAAATATGGAAATTGAGACTTGCCCAAGTTTATTAGAGATGGGCTACTCAGCCCAGTTTTCACAGCTAGTTTCATCAAGTCAGCCCTCTCAGGTCTAGGCTGTGGCAGAGCAAGCCATACCTGGCACTAACCAGGACAGCTCTCACATCTGTGTTCCCCTCCTTCTGCTCATCCCCAGAGAATGGCCAGTGGGAGATTATCCACAAGCCCTCTCGGCTAATCCAGCCTCCAGGCGATCCTAGGGGAGGGAGGGAAGGACAGCGCCAGGAAGTCATCTTCTACCTCATCATCCGCCGCAAGCCTCTCTTCTACCTGGTCAACGTCATTGCCCCATGCATCCTCATCACTCTTCTGGCCATCTTCGTCTTCTACCTGCCACCAGATGCAGGTAATGGGGGAAGGGGCTCCTTACTCTTTTGTCATTGGCTCAGCTTCTTACTCTTTATCCTTAATCCAGGCAGGGTTTTCCTGCCAATCCAAAGCATCATAGATTGGGCTTCAGCAATCCCGCCCAGGCTCTGCCTCCCGTTGACTGCCACCTTTCCTCCGCTCAGTGAAACTGGAACTCTTTCCTAATAGGAGTCCTAGCCTCTAATCCATAAAGCCTTTACTCCTCTGAACCACAAACCTCCAGGCTTAGATAGCTCTCCCATTCCCTTTCCCAACATTCCCTGCCCACTTTCAGACTCCCACTACTCCTTTAATTTTTTTTTTTTTTTTTGAGATGGAGTCTCACTCTGTCACCCAGACTGGAGTGCAGTGGTGCAATCTCGGCTCACTGCAAGCTCTGCCTCCCGGGTTCACGCCATTCTCCTGCCTCAGCCTCCCGAGTAGCTGGGACTACAGGTGCCCGCCACCACGCCCGGCTAATTTTTTGTATTTTTAGTAGAGACGGAGTTTCACCGTGTTAGCCAGAATGGTCTCGATCTCCTGACCTCATGATCTGCCCGCCTCGGCCTCCCAAAGTGCTGGGATTACAGTCGTGAGCCACAGGGCCCGACCTTTTTTTTTTTTTTTTTTTTTTTGAGACAGAGTCTTGCTCTTTTGCCCAGGCTGGAGTGCAGTGGTGTGATCATGGCTTGCTACAGCCTCAAACTCTTGGGCTCAAACAATCCTCCCACCTCAGCCTCCTGTGTAACTGAGACCACAAGCACCCACAATCATGCCCAGCTGATTTTTTTGTATTTTTGGTAGAGAAAGGGTTTCACCATGTTGCCCAGCCTGGTCTGCAACTCCTGAACTCAAGCGATCTGTTCGCCTCAGCCTCCCAACGTACTGGGCTTATAGGCATGAGCCACCGCGCTCGGCCCCCACTAGTCCTTTAACCTCCTATCTCCCTGGGAAATATATAATAGTAATAGCCACCGGGCGCGGTGGCTCACGCCTGTAATCCCAGCACTTTGGGAGGCCGAGGTGGGTGGATCACGAGGTCAGGAGATTGAGACCATCCTGGCTAACATGGTGATACTCTATGTCTACTAAAAACACAAAAAATTAGCCAGGTGTGGTGGCGGGCGCCTGTAGTCCCAGCTACTTGGGAGGCTGAGGCAGGAGAATGGCGTGAACCCGGGAGGCGGAGCTTGCAGTGAGCCGACATTGTGCCACTGAACTCCAGCCTGGGAGACAGACTCTGTCTCAAAAAATAAATAAATAAATAAATAAATAAATAAATAAATAAATAATAGTAATAGTCAACATATCTTTAGGAGGCAGCAAAATAGGATAACTTTTGGCAAATTCCTTAATCTTTTTTTTTTTTTCGAGACAGAGTTTTGCCCCGTTGCCCAGGCTGGAATGCAGTGGCATGATCTTGGCTCACTGCAACCTCCACCTCCTGGGTTCAAGCGATTCTCCTGCTTCAGCCTCCTGAGTAGCTGGGATTACAGGTGCCCACCACCATGCCTGCCTAATTTTTGTAGTTTTAGTAGAGATGGGGTTTCACTATGTTGGCCAGGCTGGTCTCGAACTCCTGACCTCAGTGATCCACCTGCCTCAGCCTCCCAAAGTGCTAGGATTATAGGCATCAGCCACCACACCTGGCCAAATTCCTTAATCCCTATGTGTCTCAGTTTCCTGATCTGGAAGTGGGCCAACCATTGTCCCTACCGCCTAGAATTATTTTGAGGATTGACAGAGTTAATAGAACTATGCCTGGCACCCAGTAAGTTCTATGTAAGCACTGGGTTTTGGGTTGTTTTTTGTTTTTCTTTTTTGAACACTTGCTATAAGGTAATTCATTTAACATGGTACATGTACTAATTCTAAACTTTACAACAATCCTGTGAGGTAAGTAACGAATTGTCATTCTCATTTTACAGTGGAGGATAAAGAGGCTGAAGGAGTTTAAGTCATTTGCCTGAAATCATTACACAGTTAGAGAGGGGCAGTGTTGCAATTCCAACCTGGGTCAGTGGCAGTCTGATTCAGAGACCTGATATCCTTAGCTCTGGTATTCAAAACATGCTTTCCTCCTCTCTGCCATCAAATCCTTTGTCTAAAGAAGGAAAGCAGGCTGGGCGTGGTGGCTCACACCTGTAATCCCAGCACTTTGGGAGGCTGGGGCTGGTGGATCACCTGAGGTCAGGAGTACTCAAGAAACAGAAAGGAGGCCAGTAGAACTGAATGAAGTAAGCAGAGGGGAAAGCAGTAGGAGATGAAGTCAAGGAGCTCATGGGAAGGACCTATAGACCATAACCAGCTGCGTTTCAAAGGGACTCTAGACCCAGGAAGGCCCAGAACCACTGATGCTGAGTAACACCCTTGGCCTTCTGGTCTGAGTTGCTATGGCCTTGGGCATGCTAGAACAGGCAAGTGAGTTTCACTGGGGCATGTGTTGGGTGGATGTTTCAGGTTCTTTTCTTTTCTTTTCTTTTCTTTTTTTTTTTTTTTTTTTTGAGACAGAGTCTTGCTCTGTCTCCCAGGCTGGCATGCAGTGGCGCGATCTCGGCTCACTGCAACCTCCACCTCCCAGGTTCAAGCAATTCTCCTGCCTCAGCCTCCCTCCCCGGTAGCCGGGATTACAGACATGAGCCACCATGCCTGAGTAATTTTTCTATTTTTAGTAGAGATGGGATTTCTCCATGTTGGCCAGGCTAGTCTCAAACTCCTGACCTAAAATGATCCACCCGCCTTGGCCTCCCACAGTGCTGGGATTACAGGTGTAAGCCACCCCGCCCAGCCTGTTATGTTTTTTAACGTTGGTCTTTCGGCCACCAAGAGCCCAGGAAGGCCACATGCACAGCTCTGCCAGGTGCAGCCCAGGTGTCCAGGGCTCTCTGGTCCAGGACACCATGGCCTGGTGTGCCCTTATCTCCAGGCCTGAAGCCCCACCTGTCCAACCTGGAGACAGCTATGCAAGGTTCTCTTGCCAGGTGCTGTTTAATCTTGGGCCCTCCAGGGCCTGGAGCAGCTTCCAGGGCCCGTCCTCCATGCCCCCACCCAAGGACGTCCTCACTCCAGCAAGCTCAGCTACATGCTCAGCAGTCAGGGCCACTGAGGCCACAGCCCCGCCGCCACCCACACCAGGCTGTCCTAGAGGGCCACCCCAGCCCTGGAAGCCCCCTCAACCCCTGCTTTCATGCAGGAGAGGGGGAGCCACTGGAAGGTTCTGGAAAGAGGAATAATATGATCTGATTCTATTTCTTTCTTTCCTTTTTCTTTTTTTTTTTTTTTTTAGATACAGTCCCTGTCTGTCACCCAGGCTGGAGTGCAGTGGCACGATCTTGGCTCACTGCAACCTCCGCCTCCCGGGTTCAAGCGATTATTCTGCCTCAGCCTCCCGAGTAGCTGGGATTCCAGTCACACACCACGATGCCCAGCTAAATTTTTTGTAATTTAAGTAGAGATGGGGTTTCGCTATGTTGGCCAGGCTGGTCTCGAACTTCTGACCTCAGGTGATCTGACCGCCTCAGCCTCCCAAAATGCTAGGATTACAGGCATGAGCCACCGCACCCAGCTTGATTTATATTTTAACAAAATCAGTCTGGCTGCTCGGTTGAGAACAGTCAGCATGGGAGAAAAGGATGGAGCAAAGAGACCAGTTAGGAGGGCTTTACAATAATTCAGACCTAAGGTAATGTGCTTTAGAGCAAGGTGGTGATGTAGGAGGTGGGACTCGACTCCAGACCAAATTGAGGACCAGCTAGAACAGGAACAGGGCAGATGCAGCTTTCCATAAGACATACTCACGAGTGTGCCATGTCAGTTTACCATTGCCATGGAAACACCTGGGAGTTACCACCCCTTTGGCAATCACCTGATGACACAGAAGTTACTGCCCTTTCCCTAGAAATTTCTGCCTAATCCGTTGCTTAATCTGCATGCAATTAAACGTAGGTATAGGCCAGGCGTGGTGGCTCACGCCTGTAATCCCAGCACTTTGGGAGGCTAAGGTGGGCAGATCCCTTAAGGTCAGGAGTTCAAGACCAGCCTGGCCAACATGGTGAAACCCTGTCTCTACTAAAAATACAAAAAGTTAGCCAAGTGTGGTGCCATGCACCTGTAATCCCAGCTGCTCGGGAGGCTAAGACAGGAGAACTGCTTGAACCCAAGAGGCAGAGGTTGCAGTGAGCTGCAATCACGCCACTAAACTCCAGCCTGGGTGACAGAGTGAGAGTCTGTCTAAAAATAAATAAATACATAAGAGATAGGGAAGACTATCAGAGGAGTAGCTTTGGTAGTAAGATAATTTAGTTTTGGACATTTTGTTTTATTTTGTTTCTGCTTTTGTTTTTTGAGATGGAGTTTTGCTCTTGATGCCCAGGCTGGAGTGCAATGGCACGATCTCGACTCACTGCAACCTCTGCCTCCTGGGTTCGAGTGATTCTCCTGCCTCAGCCTCCCTAGTAGCTGGGACTACAGGCACCCACCACCATGCCCAGCTAATTTTTTGTATTTTTAGTAGAGATGGGGTTTCACTATGTTGGCCAGGCTGGTCTCGAACCCCTGACCTCAGGTGATTCGCCTGCCTCGGCCTCGCAAAGTGCTGGGATTACGGGTGTGAGCCACTGTACCCGGCTCAGTTTTGGACATGTTAAGCTTGAAATATTTATTAGACATCCAACTATCCAAGAGAGGTTGAGTAGGCAGATGGATATATATCTGGCATTCAGGGGAGAAGTCCAGGGTGGACATACAAATGTAGGAATGATTTACATGCAGATGGCCCTTCCAAAAGCCTGTCTTTTTTTTTTTTTTTTTTTTTTTATGATGGAGTTTTGCTCTGTTGCTCAGGCTGGAAGGCAGTGGTGCCATCACAGCTCACTGCAGCCTCCATCTTCCACACTCAAGCAGTCCTCCCAACTCAGCCTCTCAAATAGTTGGGACCACAAGCATGCGCCATTGTGCCTGGCTAATTTTTTTTTTTTTCTTTTTGTAGAGGTTGGGCAAAGTGGCTCACGCCTGTAATCCCAACAGTTTGGGAGGCCAAGGTGGGTGGATCACTTGAGCTCAGGAGTTTGAGACCAGCCTGGGTAACATGGTGAAATCCTGTCTCTACAAAAAGTACAAAAATTAGCTGGGCATGGTGGCGTGCACCTGTAGTCCCAGCTACTCAGGAGGCCGAGGTGGGAAGACCACTTGAGCCTGGGAAGTGGAGGTTTCAATGAGCCATTATCATGCCACTGCACTCCAGCCTGGGTGACAGAGCAAGACCCAGCCTCAAATTTGTTTTTGTAGAAAAGAGGTCTCCCTATGTTGCTCAGGCTGGTCTGAAACTCCTGGGCTCAAGCAATCCTCCCACCTTGGCCTCCCAAAGTGCCAGGACTACAGGTGTGAACCACTGTGCCTGGCTGTAGAAATCTGTCTTTGAATGGCCTGGAAACATGGTCACTGATTATGCCATAGAGCTTTCCTTCAGGCAAGTCTAATCCTTCTCTCTTCCCCTCTGCCCTCCAAGGAGAGAAGATGGGGCTCTCAATCTTTGCCCTGCTGACCCTTACTGTGTTCCTGCTGCTGCTGGCTGACAAAGTACCTGAGACCTCACTATCAGTACCCATTATTATCAAGTACCTCATGTTTACCATGGTCCTCGTCACCTTCTCAGTCATCCTTAGTGTCGTGGTTCTCAACCTGCACCACCGCTCACCCCACACCCACCAAATGCCCCTTTGGGTCCGTCAGGTAAGAAAGATCTCCTCCTCCAACCCCAATTTTCCTTTTACAGACCATAGGGAGAACTATAGCTATGTGGCAGAGTGTTGAAGTGTCCAAGCTTGTTGAGTGTTGAAATGTTGCACAGTTAAGCTAGCCCCCATCATTATCATTTCACAGATCCCATACTCTCTTCATCAATACTGCCCATCTCGGGTCCCAGGGAAATATTCTTAGGGTTAGGTACTATCAGATTGGAAGCCCTCTCTTTCCAGTTGGGATACCTCCCAACCCACTAAATAGCTTTTTTTTTTTTTTTTTTTTTTTTTTGAGATGGAGTTTTGTTCTTGTGGCCAGGCTGGAGTGCAATGGCACAATCTCAGCTCACTGCAACCTTCACCTCCCAGGTTCCAGCGATTCTCCTGCCTGAGCCTCCCAAGTAGCTGGGATTACAGGCACCCGCCACCACGCCCAGCTAATTTTTGTATTTTTAGTAGAGAGAGGGTTTCACCATGTTGGCCAGGCTGGTCTTGAACTCCTGACCTCAGGTGATCCACCTGCCTTGGCTTCCCAAAGTGCTGCGATTACAGGCGTGAGCCACCGCGACAGGCCCAACCCACTAAAGAGCTCTTAGGTCTGTGTGGCTGCATTTCCTTGTGTAGCTCGTTTGTGGAAGAATATGCACGCACATACTCACGCGCGGGAATGGGCATGTGGAGTGGGGTGGTTGGCTGTTTCCCTTCTGGTCTGAAAGCATGAAAGCCCCCACCAATACGCCTCTTCTACTCTGCAGATCTTCATTCACAAACTTCCGCTGTACCTGCGTCTAAAAAGGCCCAAACCCGAGAGAGACCTGATGCCGGAGCCCCCTCACTGTTCTTCTCCAGGAAGTGGCTGGGGTCGGGGAACAGATGAATATTTCATCCGGAAGCCGCCAAGTGATTTTCTCTTCCCCAAACCCAATAGGTAGGACTACGCCCGTTACCCACATAAGAGGGAGAGGGAGAACTACAGTTCCCAGAAGAGTGTGCGGAAGAAGCGGCCCATGCTCTCGGAAGACGCTGTGGTTGAGCATCATGGGAGTTGTAGTACTCCTGCTGCTCACTTTGAGGGGAGGTGGGAACTAAAACAGAGGCGGTGGAAGAAGTTGCACAAGGCTAGAGAGATCACTGCTGGAGGGAAAAGCATGATGGGCTCTCGGGTTTTGAGAACTGGCAAGTTGTTGGAGGCAGCTGGAGCGGGGCCTGGGTCGCCGGCACTGGCTGTCTTTGCGTTTGGGCGTGGCCAGTCACTCCTCTTCCAGGTTCCAGCCTGAACTGTCTGCCCCTGATCTGCGGCGATTTATCGATGGTCCAAACCGGGCTGTGGCCCTGCTTCCGGAGCTACGGGAGGTCGTCTCCTCTATCAGCTACATCGCTCGACAGCTGCAGGAACAGGAGGACCACGATGCGGTATGTCCAACGGGGGTGGAACAAGGCCAGGTCTAGGCGACCTTGGCCCCACCCCCAAATTCCGCACCAGCACTCGCTTTCGTTTTTTTTGTGTGGTTTTTTTTTGGCTTTTTTTTTTTTTTTTTTTTTTTGAGACAGAGTCTCGCTCTGTCGCCCAGGCTGGAGTGCAGTGGCTCGATCTCGGCTCACTGCAACCTCCGCCTACGGGTTCAAGCGATTGTCCTGCCTCAGCCTGCCGAGTAGCTGGGACGACAGGGGCGCGCCACCACGCCTGGCTAATTTTTGTATTTTTAGTAGAGACGTGGCTTCACCATGTTGGCCAGGCTGGTCTGAAACTCCTGACCTCAGGTGATCCGCTCGCTTCGGCCTCCCAAAGTGCTGGGATTACAGGCGTGAGCCACCGCGCCCGGCCTCGCTTTCGTTTCTGATTGGACCTCTCCCTCATTTGGTCCCACCCCCTGCTTACCTACTGGTTCTTTATGCCCATGCATTGCCTGCAGTCTCGCTCTCCTGTTGGCGCTGCCGGCTGTTGCCTCAAACCAGTGGTAGGAGGACTCAAGCGGGTAGCGGGCGGGGAAATGGGGGGGTTTCCCTGGGGGTCTGGGCCCAGAGCTCAGGAAGTTTCCTTTGCCTACCCACAGCTGAAGGAGGACTGGCAGTTTGTGGCCATGGTAGTGGACCGCCTCTTCCTGTGGACTTTCATCATCTTCACCAGCGTTGGGACCCTAGTCATCTTCCTGGACGCCACGTACCACTTGCCCCCTCCAGACCCCTTTCCTTGAAGACTGGAGGGTTGAGACCCAGGCCCCCTGCCAGTTGAAGTGAGAGTTTGGTGATACTGTCAAGCCCTATCCTTCTCTGCCTCTTAACTCCTTCACGAGGAATCTGGGCCTCTTATTTCGTTTCTGGGGACTGCATTGGACTGAGGGCTGGGTAGGCAGGTGTCTTGGACCCACCTGAAATGCAGTATCATCTGATTTACTCTTTGGGATCTTGAAGAAGCTCTTTTGGGTATCAACACCTAGGTCGCCAGTGAAATAGAACACAGAACAGGAACTAGATTATAAGCCTTATGAGGTCAAGAAATGTGACTTGGCCGGGCGCGGTGGCTCACGCCTGTAATCCCAGCACTTTGGGAGGCCAAGGCGGGCGGATCACCTGAGGTCGGGAGTTTGAGACCAGCCCGACCAACATGGAGAAACCCTGTCTCTACTAAAAATACAAAATTAGCCAGGTGTGGTGGTACATGCCTGTAATCCCAGCTACTAGGGAGGCTGAGGCAGGAGAATCACTCGAACCCGGGAGGCAGAGGTTGCAGTGAGTCAAGATCACGCCATTGCACTCCAGCCTGGGCAACAAGAGCGAAACTCCATCTCAAAAAAAAAAAAGTGTCTTGTTCACTGCAGCATGCCCAGTGCCACGCACAGGTGCTGACCTATAGTAAGTGCTTAACATTTGTTGAATAGGGGAAAGAAATTTCCGGAAGTAAATACAGCAATTAATAATGTTTATAAGCTGGGCATGGTCGCTCAGGCCAGTAATCCCAGTGACTTAGGAGGCTGAGGTGGGAGGATTACTTGAAACCCACAGTTTGAGACCAGCCTGGGCAACATAGTGAGACCCTGTCTCTAAAAAAATAAAAATAGAAATAAAGTAGTGCTTATTGTTTGCATGTTGGGTCTTGTGGTCGTTTTCTTTTTACCTTTCTGTAATTTATTATGTTTTGTAATGTGTACTATCTCTGGGATTAAAAAAAGTTATTTCTACAAGCATGCATTGGTAATGAGAAAAAACAAGCGTTTTGAAGGCCTTCATTCAAGTTCCAACCTTGGTGCTCACACAAGCCACTAGCTTGCTCTGTACTTGTTTCGACATCTGTAAAATGAAACTAATGATAGCATATGCCCTATAGGATTGTCTGGGGATCACAGGAGATGGGAAAAAAGCACTATGCGATATGTATCAGAGGTTGCAACGGTGTGTTTTTTGTTTGGCCTGCACAGTTTTAAATTTGAACTAGTTCACTACTTTTATTTTTTATTTTTTTTCAAGACAGAGTCTCGCTGTGTTGCCCAGGCTGGAGTGCAGTGGCGGGACCTCGGCTCACCACAACCTCTGCCTCCCGGGTTCAAGTGATTCTCCTGGCTCAGCCTCCTGAGTACCTGGGACTGCAGACCCACACCACCATGCCCAGCTAATTTTTGTACTTTTAGTAGAGATGGGGTTTCACTATGTTGGCCAGGCTGGTCTAGAACTCCTGACCTCGTGATCTGCCCGCCTCGGCCTCCCAAAGTGCTGGGATTACAGGCGTGAGCCATCACGCCTGGCTACTAGTTCACTGCTTTTAAAATGTGGATATTTCATGAGAAATTTGGCTTCCTGGCTTCTCTTGAAAATAATCTTATTTAAAAAAAAACTATAGAGACAGGGTCTCACTATGTTGCCCAGGCTGGTCTTGAACTTCTGAGCTCAAGTGATCCACCTGCCTTGGCCTCCCAAAATGCTGGGATTACAGGTATGAGCCATCACACCCAGCCTCAAAGATAATTTTAAAAACTATAGTAGTCCGGGCGTGGTGGTTTATGCCTGTAATCCCAGCACTTTGGGAGGCTGAAGCAGGCAGATCACGAAGTCAGGAGTTCGAAACCAGCCTGACCAACATGCTGAAACCCCGTCTCTACTAAAAATACAAAAATTAGCTGGATGTGGTGGCGTGCACCTGTAATCCCAGCTACTCAGGAGCCTGAGGCAGGAGAATCGCTTGAACCTGGGAGGTGGAGGTTGCAGCGAGCCAAGATCGTGCCACTGCACTCCAGCCTGGGCAACAAGAGCGAAACTCCATCTCAAACAACAACAACAACAAAAAACTATAGTAACACCAGGCCTGATTCCCCTGTTGGCAACAACTTGTGTAGAGCTTAGTGGCTGCCACTCTGGTCAAGTTATTCATACCATAATTCCTCAAAGCCCCTGTAAACCTGACCCACGTCACTTAGTTTACCTGCCCATCCCTCCGTAACACTAGAAAAGATACAGGGGGCAACGAATTGAAGCCAATGGGGAAGCCACAAGTGGAAAAAGAAAGGTTGTGTCTCTTATGGCCATCACACATTTTATGCCTCAGTTTTCTTTCAATTTGGAAGGAAGGTTAGACCTGGTTTAAGGCAGGGCCATTTTGGACATAGAGATCTCGCGCCCAGCAGGTTGTATGAACTAGACTGTTAATATTTCTGGCTGGATGTTGGGCCAAAGTCAGCTTGAGCCTACAGTCAACAAGCCCTCACTCAACTACTCAACTGCTGGAAGTTGCGTCCAAACAGGGAGCATTGGGCCACAACTCACAGGGATCCTTGTGGGACAAAGTTAGCATGTTCCTTTCCCCCAGACCCACCAGCCACGCAAATAATTGCACCTGGCATCCCACTGTGGAGCACAGTTCATTTGTCTTGTTGGTTTATTGGCCTACAGAGTTGGACACACACACAAATGCGGAGATAAATATTGGTCAGTTTCTCTAAATCTGGGTCCTCACTACGTATAGAGCTAGTCTGTAGAATTCTAAATTTTGCGTGCTGCGGCACAGAACCAGTGGCCTTCTCACTCTGCCACCACCCGTCTTCCCAGGGAACATGGGGAAAGAGGGCACGAACTGACAAGACTTGATCATTTTCAAAAGACAAAACTGCAAAATCCCAAATTTCCAACATCTGAAACTCACAATATTCAAATTCCCCAGCTCAAATACATATATTTTAATCTCCACGTCGCCACAATCTCATTTGTTGCCCAGAACCACCACATTCTGGAAGCTATTTTCCTTGATCATATTTAAGAAAAAAAAAATGTCTACAATCTCAATTCTCCCAAAAAAAAATGTCCATGGTTTTGGAATTTTGACCTATTCTGAAGTTCCAATTCTCCGGTCCATCCTCAACCCTTCCATTTTCCCATGCCTGTTTGCCTCAGAGGAGTATGGGTTAAGGATATAGGGGCACTGTCGTCACCTCTGCCCCTGCCTCCAGGCCTTCCTCAGTCTCTCTTGTGGTTCCGCTGTATAGATAGATAGATATATAATTTGTGTGTAGATATATATATATGTATTCTTTATTACGTATTTTTTTGCAGTTTTTCTAAAGTGCCAGAAACAAGATTTGTGGGAATTTTTAGTGATTTTTTTTTTTGTGTGTTTTTCCCCATTTGAAACCTTTCCCCCCCTTAAAAATTGGAACTTGGTACATTCAGTAGGAAATTCGTCACTCAGGCTGTGGCCAAGACCAAGAAAAGTGCAAAGAGACAGAGGAGGAATGAAGGAGTGACTCCTCTGTGGTTAACATTCAGGGAGCCTGTCTAAAACCTCCCCTTTTGTATATGCTGGGAGGGTATGAGGGGTAGGAGGATGGTCCTGGCCCTCCCTAAACTCACCTCCCTCCAAAAGCCATGATCTTGCCCTTGGCAGTGATTGCTGCTAGGGCAGCCATCTTGGCCCCAAAAACAGTAGCTGGGGAAAAGGCTGCCATTTTGATGACAGCAACTTTTCCTTTTAAAACTGCACTCCTCTAATTCCCATTTGTCAAATTTGCTCCCCCATACTGGCTCTCCCCTTGTGAGCTATTTTTTGGGGGGAGGTGGGTGGGATGGGAAATATTTATCCAATCACAGAGCAGGGAGGCCCAGTTTTCAAAGAGAATTAGGAGCAAACATTTATCTCCCCCACTGGAAGGAAATACAGGGACCCTGACCAGGGTTAACTAGTGCAAATTAGGGATTAGGGACTATTTAAAGTCCCTGTACCCCATCCCTAGGCTGGGATCTTTGGGTGTGGGGAACTGAGTCAAAGATGGGGTGTAAGGTGCTATTTTGAAGGGA